>NC_000003.12:126129816-126281331 GCF_000001405.40 Homo sapiens
GGCGCCTACATGCTTGGCATCCAGCGGGGTCCGAACTCCTCCTGCTGAGCAGCTCTCGTCCTCTGCCTGTTCCTCCTTTGTTCTATATTTCCTGTTCCTCAGTGCTGTGCAGGAGTTCCTCATCTTTATGAACACTGACCACCATACCCATTTTGGACATTTTTTGGGTTTACTCTTGTTTCCCACC
The DNA here is from genome assembly GCF_000001405.40 of Homo sapiens. Lineage (NCBI taxonomy): Eukaryota > Metazoa > Chordata > Mammalia > Primates > Hominidae > Homo > Homo sapiens. The sequence goes on from NC_000003.12 coordinate 126,130,004, forward strand.
GTGGACCTGACTGATCCAGTGTTACTGGGAGATTAAATACAATTGTCCTCAAGTCCTTACAACAATGCCTGGCATGGAGCAGGTGCTCAAGAAGCACATGGATGGCTGTTTGATAAATGCACGCACAGGGTGCTGTGAGCTCCCGCAGGCTGTGCTACAGTTCCGTGTACTGCATGGAAAGCACCGCGAGGCTGCACCTCGCCCTGGGCAGGAACTCACCCAACAGGCTCCTTCCTGGTCAAGGTCAGGTTGCGGTTGGGTCTGGCCTGGTTGATGGGGATGGTGGAGCCCTGGAAGAGGAACAGGGGCAGTCACCCAGGGGCCCAGGGTCCACACCCCTTCCCCTCTAGGCAGCAAGTCTCCACCAGGGTCTCCAGGAGGAAGTCAAAGCGACCAGCTTAGGTGTGACCTGAGGCTTGAGAGACAGGCAGGGGGGCAGCCAGAGGGGCAAGGTGTTTGCTCCACTCTGAGCCTGGCAGGCAGAGCCCTTGGGTGGAAGCTGGTCCTGGTACCAGCAAAGCCTCTAGCTTTGACATTCGAGCAAGAAAGGGTGAGGGTGGGGGCAGGGCCGGGTGTCCCCCTCCCCACAGCTCTAAGCAGTTGAGCACATGTAGAAGGCCCAGGCCTTGGGGGGTCCAGCTGCAGCCAGAAGCTACACAGCTGCGGAGTAGGGGCGGGCACCAGGCAGCCCACCTCCCTTGTCGCTGTCATGCCCTGGTGGAGAGGAGGAACCATGGAGCCCAGATCTGATCTGGCAGAGACGCCATGAGTCCTGCAGAGGTGGACCTCCCCAGGGAGCCTCTACAAATGGCCCCCAAGTTCCACAACTGATGGCGGGAGCCTGAAGATATGGTGACACTCCCTCCTATGAGGTGTTGACTGTCCCTGTTGACCCTAAGGTGGGGACATAGTGCCCATGAGCCCAGAATAACTGCAGGAGCCCCCAGAAAAGCAGGCAGAAGACAGTGTCACAGGGATCCCAAGCCCGAGAGTGACCTGCTGCCGCTGGGAGATACAGTGCCCTGAGCAGGGACCTGCAGCCAGGAAGGACCTGCGGCCTCAGCCCTGCATCCACACGGAACTGAACTCTGTCAACACCCGAACTCGTCTGGATGCAGGTTCTGTCCCAGAGTCTCCAGATAAGGCCCAGTCCAGCCAGCGCCTTAGCTTTGGCCTTGTGAGACCTTGGCATGGAACCCAGCCCAGCCTGCCTGGAATTCCCACCTGCAGGACCACAAGCTAATAAACAGGTGTCATTCCAAGCCACCAGTTGTGGTCATTTGCTGCGCAGCATGCAGATGACTGTGCTGCCCTTGGAGTTCTCCTATATGGCTGGGCCAGTCTGCATGTGCTCACACTGGGTGGGAGCCTGGGCCCCACCTGGATCTTGTCACACCAGCCAGCAAAGTAGCGGAAGGTCTGGATGGACATGCCCACGTGGGTCTTCAGGGCCAGCGTGTAGACGGCACCCGCATCCAGGGCCTCAATGGTGGCCAGCTCCTCCTGGTGCTGCTCCATGAGATCTGCCAACCTGACCAGGGTGAGGGGAAGCGGGAGGTGGGCTCAGGCCTGGCACGGCCTCATCTGCCCTCACAAGGCCCTTCTTCAAGGAGCTGGGGTCCTGCCCTCTACCCCAGTTCTGCCACTCTCAGATGTGCGGACCTCCGTTTCTGATCCATGCAATGGGCCAGCACCGTTTACTCCACCGGATAGCTGTGAGGATGACACCCTCTGTCCCTCTCTCCTTTCCTCGATCTTCCCTCGCTTCCTTCCTGAAGTATTTGTGGATCCACTACTTTATCCTATTCCTCCGAAATTATCCTGCAGAGGCATTCACCCACTTGCTGCAGACAGCAAAGGGGTCATGGCCCAAGAGGCTGCCCTTCCTGTCTTCGGAAAGCTTGAACCAGGAGAAAGTCCATCTGTCTTTCCAGCACCAATAAACCAACTGTTCAGTCCAGGATGGTGGGGGCATGCTCCTGAGCCTGGCATCTCCAGAGATGGAGAGGTGGCCCCATCCCCATCACAGAAGGGCTGACTAGGGAGCAACGTGGGGGCTGACGCGTTTACACAGACTGGCTTCAGCCTGAGCATGCCGAGGTCGGGTTGCCCTCCCTTGATTCTGACGGATGTGCAGCTGTGGGCAGCCTGGGAGTTATGAGGGTGCCCCTCTCATCCCCTAGGGGGAGGGTGGACAGGGAAAGTGGAGACCACAGGCCCAGAGCAAACTCAGCCTTGGAGACAGGGCAGCTCGGGCCCAGAGGCAAGTGTGGGACCAAAGCCTGCCAGCCGTTTCCCACACTGCTCCCCTCTGCACCCAGGCACCATGAAGCCCACACGCACCCCAGGCCTGCTCCGGTCCTCACCTGCCTACACCCACCAGGACCCGTGACAGCTGTCCACGCCACTCAGGATGCATCTGCAACTCTGTGCCTGGCCAAGCAGCTCCTGGCCATTTCCATTTCATTCTGGGGCCACAAGACCCCAGCTCCTCTGCCTCCCTCCTCCTCCTCACATCGGCCTCTTCCAGGTGCTCAGGTCAGTCAGGCCTCCTGCCTTGGCTTTTAGGGGCTGTGTTGCATGTCTGGGCCCCCTTTCCACACTCCTGTTTCTCCTCTTAGCCTTCTGTACTTGTTTCAGACACGGACTCAATGGGAAGCCGACCCAAATCCCCAACCATGTTCTGACTGATCAGAGCTCCCTGTCACATCCTCTGATAGCCTCCTCTGCCTTTCTTCACTCCCCCACCACTACAGTTTGTAACAGACATTCAGGTAGATGATAATTTCATCACGATTTGCCTGCCCACTGGAATCCAGGCTGCAGGAGGCAGGGCGCTGTCTGGTTCCCTGCTCTCTGCAGCGCCCAGCTCCAGCACAGCACTGGGAAGCACTCAGCTCAGGTTTGCTGCATAAAACCAACTGAGCGAGGCCACCCTGGGCAAGGAGAGCCCATGCGTAAATCGGTTCCTGAGAAAAACCGATTTTGTACAGCAAATAGTGAAAACATCACCTAGCGGCCGATAGAGGACTAGGCTCCCCAGCTGCGAAGACAGGAGCTGCCTCTTTGTTATATAAATGAGACCCATTTGCTCCAAAGCCTGCTGGCACCAAACTCAAATTTTCCCACTCCCAGTTAGGCTTAAAGTAGCCCAAACAGGTACGTTTTTAGCCACTTAGGGCCCGCTGCTTTGCATACCCAGAGGAACCTCAACCAGCAGTTGTTGCCCATTGATAAAACAGGGCCTTGGGGTGATAAGGTGAAAGCTGCTACTGCCCTTGGCAGCCCTCAGACCCAGAGGCTCCCACTGCATCACTGTGTGTTGTCACCTGGACATGGAAGCCCACACGGCAGCCTTGGGACAGTCTCACTGCTCGTCTCCTGCAACCCTACCCAACCTGCAGCCCACTAAAGCTTGTGGTGTGCCATGCCTCCCCTGCTCACATCCTTCTCCTTCATCAGCCCCAATCCTTTGAATCCCCCACATTTCTAGATAATTCCACCTGTGTGTGACATGGCTGTGTCATCAATCCAGTTCCCAGGACACACTTTCTAAAGTATCCATCACCCGAGTGCACTATTCGGGAAGCTCTGAGAGGCTGCCTTGCAGGACTATTCTATTGTTAATTCAGTTAGGCTGCTGAATTCACACCCTGGCACCCATGCTCCCCAGAGCCCAGTCCCTGGGTGCCAGGGTAGCAGTGCAGGAGAAGTGAAGCTGCTGCCATCTCCCTCTGAAGGTCTGCAGGGCAGATGCAGGGGTGCCCAGCAGGCTCGGCCGGCCCTACTGACCACCAGCAGCCTGGACCACCGTCAGATTCTCAGCCGTGGACCACAGTGGTATCTGGGCAGAGCCAGCAGCTCCCCCACGGTCTTTCCCAGGAGCTCCTCTTTGTGGCCCCACTTGGCAGCTGGATACGGCTGCTCCTACTCCCTGGAGGTTCTATCCTGTCTACCAGGAGTTCAGGGGACTGCCTAGGAACCTTGTCTAACTCTCCCTCTGGATCCTTCTTCCTAGCTTCCACAATTGTGTAATGTCTGATTCCTGCAGTGAATTTCGTGTTCCCTAACACCCACGGTGGTCCCGCCACCCTGACAGGGTGCTCTGCAGCCATTTATCTGGGAGCTCCTGAACTGCCCCCTCCGGGACACCTAGACCCAGCCTCTGCTGTGCTGAGCTGAGGCAGAACCAGTAATGGGCACTCCCAGGTCTTCACGGGGCCTGAGAGTTTGCATAGGACAGGAAGGGGTCCACTTACAGCTGCCCAGGGTGCCCCCCTCACTGTCATTATGGGTGAGTAGAATCTGTTATGATACAAGCCACCAGATGGCAGCAGAGGCCAAGGGAGGGACCCCACGCACGCTGTTGGTTGTGCGGTCCACCAAACGCGCACGCAGGGCCCAGGCCAGAGGTTCTCCCGCCACCTGTCGTGCTTGTTTCACAGCTCTTCCTGACCTCCAGGAACTCTAGGGACCACTTGGCGTGGCCAGTGCCTTTCTAGAATTGAGGGGCTTGCGAAGGGGACTGGAACCTATGAAAGGCTGGGCATGCCCGACCCCCACAGCCCTCCCTGCCCCAACCCTAATCTCCATTCGGTTTTGCAGACCATGCTCTTGCAACCCCTCTCTCTAGTTTCCTGCTGCTGGGCTGCCCCGGCTTTTCTGGCCTCTGGAGTATAACAGAAACAGAAGCCATTCTGACCGCAAGGCCAAGGCAGGGTCTCTCCTGCCAGGTGAGGAGCTTCGTTGGGACCACGCCATAACTTGGCTTCGCACCCCTAGACGTTCCCAGGACCCCAGCGAAAGAGCCAGGCCCCAAGACACCTGTGTTCTCGGCTCATCTGGCCGCACCCTCTCTTCTCCCAGGAACATCACTCCACCTCTGTGAGGGTGACTGCTCCTTCCCGCCAGGCCCTGTGGTTCCAGGGGCACAGCACCTCTCTTCCAGGCCTTCCTCTCACTCTAAGGTCATAAGCTAAAGTCATCATAAGTCCTTGCCTAAGACGTCTGAACTGGAACTAAGGAGAGAAGGCCCCTTTCTCCCTGGCTTAAATTTTTTTTTTTTTTTTAATAGAAAATGTGAAACCTATAGATTCCAGTAGTCAGAGCCTGGCTGAGCAAGCAGAGACCAGGCCAGCCCTTCTCTGGCCCTTGCTGTCTTCTGCGTGCAGGAGCTAAGTCCCCTCCAGCCCAGGCTGGTGAGGGAAGTGCTTTGTCTGCCTGGGAGGCCCAGCCTGCGCCCACTTTGGAAGCATCCCTTGGCTTCCGCACCTCCTCACCTCCACCAGGCACCTCCCCTGAGCCCACTCTGCTGAAATGTCTCCTGTTTCTCATATCCCTTCCTCTGAGAAGCCTTTTCTGAGCCTCAGGCAAGGAGCCCCAGCCTGGCCCATCTGATGGCCTCGGTCCCATAGCCTCCCCAGGACCCAGCTCCTCCTGGCAGGTAAAAGGGCCTCCACAGAAGTCCCCCCCGTGCCACTGCCCAGAAGCTGATGGTGGCAGTGGCTGGCAGGTACATGTTGGGCTCCCACCTGTACATCAGCCGGCCCCGGTCCCGCGCACTGATCTTCCCCCACCGTCCATTCTCAAAGGCATCCTTGGCTGCGGCCACTGCCTTGTCGACGTCGGTGACTTGGGCCAGGGATACCTGGCAGATGACCTATAGTGGAAGCAGAGCCATGACAAGTTCTCCCTAAGCCAGTTGCACACAGATACCCCTGCCTGCTTCCCTGGCCTCCTCCTGGGGCCCCAGTGAGGCGGCCCCTGTCCACATGAGCAGGTGTGGAGGAGAAGCATGGCCAAAGGACAACCCTGGGAGGGTTTACACAGGAAGGGAAGACAGGGCCCTGGGAGAGGGCTGTTTGTGTGTCTACACCCCAAGGTCCCCACCCTGTTCCTGCCCTGAGTGTGCCATCCGTGCAGGCTCCCTCACCTTGGTGCCTGCTGGGTGTGGTGAGGGGAGCCGGTGGGGTGTGGTGAGGGCAGCCCAGGGAGGGCAAAGCCAGTGCCTCCTGTCTGCCGCCACAAGACAGCCATGCCCCTTCTGCCAAGGCCCCATCCTCAGCCCCTCCTGATGCTCCGTCCCAAGGGCACCGCACTGTCCTGTCTGTGTCCCTACCCCCTCCCTCTCCCTTTGCAGATGAGTCTTTCATTAACTCCTCTCAAATGACTCATTTTGAGTGTGCTCTCTGTCTTCTGCAAGGACTTGGCCAATTCTATAGGATGGACAGGATAGAAAAATGTCAGTATGCAGCCATAAAAGCAAGCCCTGCTTTGAAACCTGTGTTTTGGATATGTTCACGTGTGTATCTACCATAGGCGTGCTTTGGCTCATGATGCCACAAGGTCACAGTCAAGAAGGAGTGGCAAACACAGGACTCAGGTCGAAGAAGAATGTCCTAACGGTGGAGGGCTCAAGTAGTAGACAAGGTAGTCTCACACTGGGGCTACTGCTGAAGTGTGCAAGTGTGGCAGTGGCCTAATTTCTTCCTTGGGGTAGGAGGAACTCTGTTCCCAGTCTCTGAAGCAGGTGCAAGACCCTTCCGAGCCCTCCTGCCACCTGCCACCACCCTGCACCTCCTCTCCACTCCACTCCAGTAAGGTGGGCTGGAAACGACCTGGCATTCTTTCCCGTCCCTCTCAAAGGCACATGTCCAAGCAGAGACTCTCAGGGTCAGGACCCCCAGAGGCCAGTGGGGGCAGGGAAGGAAGGACAGGGAGGCTGGGGAATGTGGAGAAGGGGTGCTGGGCCTGCACTCACACTTCCATCGGTGGGATTGATGGTCTCAGAGGTCTTGGCGCCCTCGGCATCCACGAACTCCCCCCCAATGAAGAGCTGGTGGGGCATGCGGACAGTGCGCTTGTTCACTGCCATTTCCACCTGAAAGAAAGGCCCCAGTGACAAGCACAAACCCATGCAGGGTGCAGGAAGCATACACAGATGGCCACACAGTCACACACACACACTGCCCAGGGGCCTCCTGGGGCTTCAGAGCTGCATGTAGGCAACAGCTGAGCAGGGGAGAGACAAAGGACAGGCTCTGAGGCCAGGCTGCCTGGCGGGAGCTCTGCGCTTCCACCTACTCCCTGTGCCACCTTGGGCTGGCTCCTCAGCCTCCTTAGGGTGGGCTAAGAGGACTCAGACAGAGGAAAATGCCAGTGGCTAGTGAAGCCCTTGGCAAGCCCCAGACATGCTACAACCCACCACTCACATCCCTGTGGATTGGCAATTCCTCCCTGAACCCAGGCACCTCTGGGATATGATCCTCCTCCTGAAATCTGTTCGTCAGTCATTTGTCCTCAATCCCAAGGACACCCTTAGGTCCACCTTGGCCCCTTACTTCACCCACTTTTGTTCCAATCTACCAGCCAAACAAACTATGCTAAAGCCCATTCTTATGGGAGGTGGCAGTCTACCAAGATAGCTCAAGGAAGATTTCTTAATTTCCTTAAAAAACAGATTTTCAATTACTTGTCACACTTCCATACACACAAGTTGAATGTATAGGATTATTTGTTTCCTTAGTGGGAACTAAAAGTCTCTTCTTAATATCTTGATCACCTGCCTTGGGACTCAGAGTTTGGCCCATGTCCTGAGCATCAGACAGCAACATCCTCTGGCAAGCTGGCCCCACTGTACTGACATCCCCAGGCTATCCCGGGTGCAGGGAGAGTGTGGGAAACTGAAGGGTGGGCTCCTGGGGCCCTGGCTTTCTGAATGTCCAGGTTTCCCCTCTTGTCTTATGTAGTCATAGATGCAGCTGCCTGAGGGCTCTGCAGGGCCTGCTGCAGGGAGGGCCCAGCACTCACGTAGTCAATGCTGCACTCGCCCTCCTCATCGTCCCCTCGCAGCTTCCTCACTAACAGCTGGATGAAGTCCCCAAAGGTGGATGCCATGTACACATCTTCATTTTCTAACTCCAGGCCATCACACAGCTCCTTCACTTCCTCCACCAGCCTGGAGGAAGGAGATGGAAAGATGGGGACACGGGAGGGGCTCAGCAGGCCTGCATCGCTAGCAGCAGTGGCAGTGGGGCCAAACACCCCAGAGAGGCTCCATCCCAGCACCGAGAGGTAGCCATGAGCCCAGAACTGGGGAGAAGGGCTCAGGCTGTGGACTCAGATGGTCCCGGGTCCAAATTCTCGCTCCATTACTTTCTAATTTGTGACCTTGGGCAAATGACTAACTCCTCTAAGCCTTAATTTCTTCACCTGTAAAACAGAAATAATAATAGCTGCTCTGCTATTTTGCGATGAGTAAATACGACAACCCATCTAATAATAATAATAATTAGCAGATTAATAATAATCTCCAAAAATCTCTGTTAAAAGAATGAAAACATAAGCCACAGATTGGAAGAAAATGTTTCCAAATCACATTATCTGATAAAGGACTTGTATTCAGAATAAAGAACCCTCAAAACTCAATACTAAGAAAGCAAACAACCTAATTAAAAATGAGCAAAAGATTGAACAGATGCCTCTCAAAAGGAGAAATATGGACGGCAAATAAGAATATGACAAGACACTCAACATCATTAGGCACTGGGGAAATGCAAATTAAAACCACAATGGAATATAGCTTCATATTTATTAGAATGTCTAAAATTTAAAAGCCTGACCATTCCCACTATTGGGAAAGATGTAGTACCCTGAGCAACTGGAGCTTGCACACACTGCTGGCAGGGATGTAAATGGTGCTACCACTTTGGAAAGCAGTTTAGCACTTTCTAAAGAATTAAACATACTTCCTATTTCACTCTCAAGTATTTATCCAAAAGAAATAAAGGCCAATGTCTAGACAGCAGATGGCAGAACAAGAAGCTCCAAAAATGTATCCCCTTATCTAAATAACTATGGAACTTACATGAATCAAATATGTTGGAACTTTGGGGTCTAGTCAAATGCTTTCAGCACCAAGGAGAAAGACTGGTAAAGAAGCTGGTAAATGTCAATCAATTTAAATGATTTTCAGCCTCTCATAAGATATTGGCTGTCACCCCCCACCTCCCACCTCTGCCACAAAAAGTTGAAGCAGGGCTGGGTCATATTCCAGACGCAGCTTGCTGAAGCCAGGGTGGGCAATAAGGACCTTGTCCTCTGACCACCAGCATTGTGTCCTGAGCACTGATATTCCTTTTGATTGCTGAGAAGCTATCACAAAGGCTGGCAGTCATTGTTTCAACCCTCACAGGCTGAAGTAGCTTCTAGGAGATTTTAAAAGGCAATACTTTCCCTCCACTTTGGTAGCCAGACATTTATGGAAATCTTTGTTAGGTCACTGGCTGACTGCAGGAACAATGGAACAGAAAGTTCAACGACAACACACAATAAGGAACACACCTTGCAAAAAATAATTTGGAAAAGTCACAAACAGACAGTTCTAGCCCTCAACAAGGAAGATTCAATAATCCCTAATAAGTGGGAGAAATATATTTCCCGAATTACCACAACATAACACCCAAAATGTCCAGTTATGACCAAGAAAGATCTACAAAACATATGAAGAAATAGGAAAGAAGAGCCCATTCACAGGAACAAAAAATAATTTGAAGAAGGTACCCCTGAGGAAGATCAGATATCGGAATTATTGGTCAAAGACATTATGTCAAATGCCTTAAATATGTTCAATGAGACAAAGGAAATTATGGACAAAAAACTAAAGGAAATCAAGAAAGTGATGTATGAACAAAATGAGAATATCGAAGTGACAGAAACTATAATAACAAGTCAAATAGAAATTCTTGAGCTGGCAAGTAGAATAACTGAAACAAACAAAAAACTCACTAAAGAGGTTCAACAGTAGTTTTGAGCAGGCTGAAGGAAAGATGAGCAAACTTGAAATTATCCAGTCTGAGAAGCAGAAAGAAAAAAGAATGAAGAAAAATGAAAAGAGCCTGAAGGATTTATAGGATACCATGAAACACACCAACATACTCACAGGAGCTCCAGAGGAAAAAAGAGAAAAAGGTTTCTCTAAATATGTATTTGAAGAAATAGTGGCCCCAAAGTTCCCAAACATGAGGAAAGAAATGAATATACACATCTAAGACATACAATGAATGAAGTCCAAGCAGGATCAAAGAGATCCACACCAAGGCACATTACACCCAGCTTGTTGAAATTCAGAGACAAATAAATAATTTGGAGAGTAGCAAGAGAGAAATGGCTTGTTATATACAATGGGTCTTTGATAAGATTAAAAGCTGACTTCCACTAAAACACCTTAAAGGCCAGAAAGCAGTTGGATAACATATTAAAAGTTTTGGGGAAAAATGGCAACAACGAATTCCATATCCATCAAAACTATCTTTCAAGAATGAAACAGAAATTAAGATATTTCTATAGAAACAAAAGCTGAAGAAATTGGTTACCAGTAGACCTGCCCTAGAAGAAATGCTGAAAAGAGTCTTTCAGGCTGAGATAAAAGTACCATAGACTTGATGACACAATTAAAAATAAAGAACACAGGTAAAGGCCACTACATAGGTAAGTATGAAAGTCCATATTATTGTATTTTATTGTGGTTTGTAACTTCTCTCTTTTTCCTATATGACAATAGGCAAGTGCATAAAACAATAATTTTAAATATATATTAATGGGTATACAATGTATAAAAATGTACACTGTGACAGTAACACTATAAAGGGGAAGGAAAAGAGATGTATAGAATGAGAGTGTTTGTATACTATTGAAGCTAGGTTGATATTATTCAAACTACCTTGTTATAAATTTAAGATGTTAATTGTAATCCCTAAGTAACAACCCAGAAATAACTAAAAACATACAGTAAAAGAAAGAAGGGAATCAAAGTGATACACTACAAAAAAAATTACCAAATACAAAAAAGGACAGTATAGAGAAACTGAGGAACAAAAAAATAAGACATTCAGAAAACAAATGGCAGAAATAAATCTTTATTTATTAGTAACCAAGTTAAATGTAAATGGATTAAACTCTCCTGTTTAATCTATTTAAAGTTTAAACATGAGAAGGCACAAATTGGATGACTGGATAAAACCCAGCATCCATACATATGCTACAAGAGAATCACTTAGATATAATGATACAAAAGAGCTGGAAGTAAAAGGATAGAGAAAATATTCCATGCAAATAGTAACATAAAAGAGACTTTAAATCTAACAAGTTTACAAGACACAAAGAAGGACATTATATTGATACAAAGTTTGATGCTGCAAGAGGATATAACAATTATAAATTCATACACACCTAACACAGCCCTAAAATATATGAAGCAAAAATGGACATTTCTACAATAGTAGTTAGCTACTTAGATGCCCAACTTTCAAAAATGGATAGAACTCAAGAGAATAAGATACTTGAACACCACAAACCAATCAGATATGTACAAAACACTGCTCAAGAAGAACAGAGCACACATTCTTTTCAAGGTTACATGGAACATTCTTCATGATAAATCATTTGTTAGGCTACACAATAAGTCTTAACACATGTAAAAATATTGAACTCTTACAAAATATCTTTCCTAATCAAAATGGAATGAGACTAGAAATCGATAACAGAAAGAAATCTGGAAAATCCATAAAGATATGAAAATGAGCTAGCACACTCTTAAACAATTAATGGGTCAAAGAAGAACACACGAGAAACTAGAAAATACCTTTAGTCAAAGGAAAATAAAAACACAACATACCAAAACTTATGAGAGGCGGGGAAAGTAGTGCTAAGAAAGAAGTTTACAGGTGTAAATACATACTTAGAAAAGAATAAAGTCCTCAAATCAGTAACCTACACTGTACACCTTAAGGAATGAGATTAAAAAGCAATCTAAACCCAAAACTAGCAGAAGGAAGTAATAATAAAGATTAGAACAGAGATAAATGAAATAGAGACCAGAAAAAAAAACAGCAAATCAACAAAATCAAATTTAGATTTCTTGAAAATATCAACAAAATTAACAAACCTTTATCTGACTGACCAAGAAACAAAAAGTGAAGGCTCAAATTACTAGAATCAGAAATCAAAGGGAGACATTATACCAATCTTACAGAAATAAAAAGCATCATAAGAAAATACATGATAAATTATATGGCAACAGATTTGATAACTAGGTAAAGTGAACAAATTCCCAGAAACACACAATCTACCAAAACTCACTCATGGAGAAACAGAAAATTTGAATAGATATATAACTAGTAAGGAAACTGAATCAGTAATCAAAATCTTTCCAGTAAAGAAAAGCCCAGGGCTGAATGATTTCACTGGTGAATTCTACCAAACATTTGAAGGGAAAGTAACACCAATTTTTCTCAAACTCTTCCAAAAAACTGAGAAGAGAACACATCTTCAACTCTGTCCATAAGGCCAGCGTTTACTCTGAGACCAAAGCCAGACAAAGATACTACAGCAAAAGAAAGCTACAGACCAATATCCCTTATGGAAACTGATGCAAAAATCCTCAACAAAATACTAGCAAATTGATTTCAGCAGCATTTTAAGAATATTACATACCATGACCAAGTGGGATTAATTCTTGGAATGCAAGGATACTTCACCTATGAAAATCAATCAGTGTAACATACCACATTAATGGAATGAAGAGAAAAACACATGGTCATCTCATTTAATGCAGAAAAAGAATTTGACAAAATTCAATATCCTTTCATGATTAAAAAGCACTCAAACTAAGAATAGAAGGGAACATCCTTTATATAATAAAGGCCATATTTGAAAAATCCACAGCTAACATACTCAGTGGTGAAAGACTGAAAGCCTTTCCCCTGAGATCAGCAGCAAAATGAGGATGCTTGCTTTCACCACTTCCATTCAATACACTATAGTAGTTCCTCCTTACCCACGGGCAGGGTCGGGGGTTGGGGTTGTTCCAAGGCTCCCAGTGAGTGCCTGAAACCACATATAGGGCTGAACCTTACACTGTGCTCCTTGACTTATGATATGATTACATCCCAAAAACCCATTATAAATTGAAAATGTTAAATCATGAATGCATTTAATATACCTAACATACTGAACATCAGCGCTTAGCCTAGGCTACCTTAAATGTTCTCAGAACATTTACATTAACCTACAGTTGGGAAACTCATCTAACACAAAGCCTATTTTATACTAAAGTTTTGAGTATCTCATACAATTTATTGAACACTGTACTGAATGTGAAAAACAGAATTTTGTAAGGGTACACAAAGCATAATTTCTACTGAATTCGTATCATGTTCACACCATCATAAAGTCAAAAAATCCTAAGTTGAAGCATCATAAGTCTGGGACCATCTATATATTCTATGTTTTTTCTGATAACACCAGTGGCTACTAAGTGACTAATGGGTGGGCAGTGCATACACCATGGATATCCTGGACAAAGGGGTGATCCACGTATCAGGTGGGATGGAGCGGGACAGCATGAGATTTCATCATTCTATCAAATGGCTCTCAATTTAAAAACGTATGAATTATTTCTGGACTTTTCCACTTAATATTTTCCAACCATGATTGACCATGGGTAACTTAAACTTCAGAAAGCAAAACCACAAATAAGGGGAGACTACTGTACTGGAAGTTCCATCCAAGGCAATTAGGCAAGAAAGAAACATTAATCCAAATTGTGAAGGAAGAAGTTAAATCATATCTCATCACAGATAACATGATCTTACATGTAGAAATCTTTAAATGGGCCAAGTGTAACGCCTCACCCTGTAATTCAAGCACTGTGGGAGGATCACTTGAGCCTAGGAGTTCAAAATCAGCCCGGGCAACATAGCAAGACTTTGTCTGTAAAAAAAATTGTTTTAAGTTAGCTAGGTGTAGTGGTGCATGCCTGCAGTCCTGCTACTCAGGAGGCTGAGGCAGGAGGATCACTTGAGCCCAAGAATTTGAGGCTGCATTGGGCTATGATCAAACCACTGTTCCAGCCTAAGTGACAGAGCAAGACCATGTCTAAAAAACAGAAAAAGAAAACTTTAAATATTCTGCACCTCCAAAAAACTGTTAGAGCTAATAAAGGAATTCAGCAAAATTGCAGGATACAAAAATAACATGCAAAAAAACAGTTGCAACTCCATAAATTAGCAATGAACAATCCAAAAAGGAAATTAATAAAACAATTCCCTTTACAATGGCATCAAAAGAATAAAATAAGAATAAATTTAACCAAGTAGCCAACAGAGTTGTACAATGAAAACTACAAAACACTGCTGAAAAAAATTACAGAAGATCTAAATAAATAGAAAGCCATCTGTGTTCATGGACTGGAGAAGTTAATATTGTTAAGATGACAATACTGCCCAAAGTTATGTACAATTTTTATGCCAACTCTATTAAAATCCCAAGTGATTTTTTGCAGAAATTACAAAAATCATCTTAAAATCATATGGACTATCAAGGGACTGTGAATAGTTCAAACAATCCTGAAAAAGAACAAAGTTAGAGGACTCACATTTCCTGATTTCAAAATTTACTACAAAACTACAATAATCAAAATAGTATGATACTGGCATAAACACAGATATATAGACCAATGAACAAGATAGCCTAGAAATAAACCTAAACATATATGGCCAACTAATCTTCAACAAGGGTGCCAAGAATACATAATGGGGAAGCGATAGTCCCTTCAACAAGTGATGTTGGAAAGATTGGATGTCCACATGCAAAATAATTAAATCGGATCCTTATCTTGCCCCACACATAAAAATATTCAACTCAAAATATATGAAAAACTTAAGACTTAAAACTATAAAACTAGAAGAAAGCATAGGGGAAAGTCTCCATGACATTGGTCTTTGCAATCATTTCCTGAATATCACACCAAAAGAACTGGAAACAAAAGCAAAAATATACAAGTCATATGCATCAAAGTAAAAAGCTTCTGCAAAGCAAAGGAAACAATCAGCATGGAATGCGAGAAAACTTCTGCAAACCATGTATCTGATAAGAGGTTAATTCCTAAAACATATAAGGAGTTCCTACAACTCAATAGCAAACAAAACAAATAATCCAATTTAAAAATGGGCAAAGACTTGAATAGACATTTCTCCAAAGAAGACATACACATGACCAACAGGTATATGAAAAGATGCTCAACATCACTAATCATCAGGAAAATGAAAATAAAAACTACAATGAGATACCATCTCATCACTGTTGGGATGGTTATTGTTCAAAAGGAAAGAAGAAAAGGGGAGAGGAAGGAAGATAGGAATGAAAGTAAGCATTGGCAAAGATATGGGAAAAATGGAACCTTTGTGCACTGTTGGTGGGAATGTAAAATGGTGCAGCCTCTGTGGAGAATGATATGGAGGTTCCTGAAAAAATTAAAAGAAGAACTATCATATGACCCAGTAATCTCACTGCTGGGTATTTGTCCAAAAGAACTGATCTCAAATTCCCATGCACTTCCACATTGATTCACAACAGCCAAGATGTGGAAACAACACAAATGTCCATCAACAGATGAGCAGATAATATGGTCTATCTGTACAATGAAATAGGATTCAGCCATAAAAAGAAGGCAGTCCTGCCATGTGCTACAAAAGGGCTGAATTTTGAGGACATCATGCTAAGCGTAAAAAGCCAGTCACAGAAGGACAAATGCTGCATGATTCCACTTGTATGAAGTACTAGAGTGGCCAAGCTCATCAGAGCAAAAAGAATGGCTGTTGCTGGGGCTAGGGAGAAGGAAATGGGGAGTGGCTGTTCAACGGACAGAAAGGTTTAGTTGTGCGAGAAAAAGTTCTAAAGATCTGCTGACCAACACTGTGCTCATAGTTAACAATCCTACAATATACAGCTATAATTTTAAGAAGGTAGATGTTGTATTATGTGTTTTTTTGCCACATTTTTTTTAAAAGGACATATACTCTTAACTATTTACAGAAAAGCAGTTTTGCTTTCTTTGCATCCTCAGCTCGGTAGCTGTACACAAGGCATGGCCTGGCCTCTGGACACCATTCTCTCAGGTGTCTGGCATTCTTCTTCTTGGCATATTTTTTACAAAACAATTATTACAAACTGCATACTGCCTCACAGTGAGTTACTAGAGGTCCACAGTGCCAAGCACATAGGCCCAACTCAGCCCACTCAGCCCCAACTCATATGCATGGTCAATTGCAAAACTGGTCACAATGCCCACCCCTGCAGTCACAGCCTTGGCCATGTGAAGGTGCAGCACCTGCTAGCAAGATGTGGAGTTTCTTTCCCCAACCCTGGAAGCTGGACCTGTTCTGTGACTCATTTTGGCCAACAGAATGCAATGAACACAACGTGCTCACTCTGAGACCCCCTCCCTGGGCTCCCGCTCTCCCTCCTGGAACCCACCACCACCACAGGACCAGCCAGCCCCCAGCTGACCTGGCAGATCCCGCCCTTATGTGAGCCCAGCTGACAGCAGCTGAATCTGATGCAAATCAGCTGAGCCCAGCACAAACTGTCGAACCATAGTACTGTGAGCTAAGGATATGGTGTTGGTTTAAATCTCAATGTTTTGGGGTGCTTTGTTGCACAGCACAAATGGTTGGCACAATACATAACCCTAATTCTCCCTATGAACTCAGTACTGTTCTTCTGAATCAACTCCTCCCAAATTCCCTCCTAGAACTTCCCCAGAGAGGCTGCATGCAACTACGCCCCCTTAACATTTGCATAAAGACCTGCAACCATTCATTTGTGCTGCCCACCATGTGTGCACGCAGACCTGCACACTGGCCCTTCCTGGGTCCCTGGCCCACATGATCCATGAGTGTAACAAATGGTTGTTTCCTGCTGCTCAGTTTTGCAGAGATTTGTGACACAGCACCAAGTACCTGGGACAGGACCCCTCCACTCCTGGCCTTACCTCACAACGTCCACAGACGCGGCCCCTGACTTGAAGAAATCAGTGGAGTCTTCAACCTCCAGGACTTTGGGGAGGATCCGCTGCCAAACACTCTGCAAAGCAAGACCTGATGAGAGGCTGGCCCCAGGGGAGCTGGGGACAAGTGCCACTCCAGGACAACAACCCCTGAACAGACTCATGGATGGCCTGGGGCCAGGCTGGGCTTCTCTATGTACCTCCAAGTTGTTGCCTCATCCCAGGAGGCTTAATGGTCCTGGAGTGACCACCTTCTGGGAAAGAAGGAGCTGCCACATCCCAGGGCCCTCTGATGCTGGCTGCTGTCCTCATGCCCACCTCACCTCAACCCCCAGCTTCTCTGGGGTCCCCATGACAGTCCAGCTGATGGAGGACAGATGTGCCAGGCCTCTAGGCATGGCTGGGGACTAGGAAGGTGGGGCCCAGCTGCTCCTGACCCCCACTCACCTTGGTGCTAGCGCCCAGGTTCTGGTGTCCCTAGTGTGACACCGATGCCCGGGTGTTGTAGCAGCAGGCTGGAGACAGGGTGGGCCTGAAGGTGACTATGAGGCTCACAGATGGGTTCAGGAGACCTGGGTCTTGACCTCACCAAGATGCTAACTGGTCTGTGTCCTCTGAAGGATTCAGTCTGGGACCTATGGAGGGCAGCAGTGCCCAGCCAGCTGGCCCTGTGGATGTGGGTGCTCAGCTCCCACTAAGGCACCCAGTAAGGCTGTCCAGCAGTCAAGATGGGATGACTGCTCTCTGGGCAGGCTGCTGGTGAGGCCCAGTGGGGCAGGAGTCAGGAGGGGCCCCAGCAATATCAGGCCAGGTCCCCACTCTCTGGATGAACTCCAGGCCATTGTCAATCATGGGCCCAGGTTGGGGGTGAGGCATGAGATGCTGGTCCAGGCCCAATCAGAACCAGTTCCCCCAACCCCTGGCACAAGCACCCCCGGCTCTCCTCTTTCTTTCTTGGAAAAATGTCATGGATCTGCCCTTCCCATCCTCAGGGCGAGCATCAACACCACACCAAGCCACGCACTGTCTGCCACACACCTGCTGCCTGCCCCTCGAGGTCTCTGCTAGGCTCTCACCTGCTGGCGACACCTTCCCCTGACTCCCCAGCTAATATTTAAGTCCTGGGCATCCTTAAGGGTCCAATTCCTGTGTCACCTCTTCCCCAAAACCTTTGCTGGCTACTCTACTGGCAGGATCTACCTGCCTCAGACCACACCGCTTGGGGCCACCAGTTGTCCCCTACTGGATGGCACCTGCTAGCGTCCAGGGCCCTTATCAGATGAGAGTGGAGCCACAAAGGGGCAGTGCGGCAGACTGGTCACTGAGTGCACCACAAAGCCAAAGCCCACCAAGCCATGAAAATGCAGGCAGCCCCTCAGTGCTGACAGCAGCTGTGTAAGGATTCCGTGTGTGAGGCAGGCAGAGAGTCTGGACTACAGGGAGAGTCAGCAAACACAACGTTTCTGCCATGGGCAGCAACTGCCCAGCCTCAGCTCATGAAGGCATAGGGGGTTGTGGCCCACTACCTGCCGAGCCCACAGCAGGCTCTTGGAGCGTTCTCCTGAACAGCCACAGGCCAGGCCCCTCCACCAACACCGGGGAGCTGCACAGCCCCAGACTGGCCTCCCCTCGTTTTGGCCATGTCCCCTCTATCACATCGGTCTCCAGACCATACATCCTGGAGGCCGAGTGCAGCTGTGAGCAAGAGGCCTAATGATAGCCATCCTAGCGATGGCCTTAGGGGGCTGCACGGTGAACAGCTAGAGGAGGACTTGAGCCCAGCCCTCCAGAGCCCGGACTCCACTCCTCAGGCCTTGGCTCCACAGCTGAGACCTGCAGGTACTGAGGGCACCTACTGCATAGAGTTGTTATCATGAATAAACACGCCGCTCTTCCAGGAGGATCTGGAACTCTGAATGTGCACGGTGAACAAATGCAAACCTGAAATAGCCAATCCTTCAAGATGGATCCCCAGCAGCAAACTGGGCCTAAATTTAAAACAGAGCCAAGTGGACACTTGCTGTCTAGGGGGTCACACATGTACTCTAGGTTCCCCTAAAACCTGCACCTTTTTATCTTTGAGTCTTTCAGAGCTCACCTGAACCAGCCAATCAGGGCTCAGCTGTACCAACCAATTAGAACTGGTTTCAACCCTTCCTTTGCATGGGAACCTGGGTGAGAGCTTTTGCTATAAAACCCCACCCTTCCCGTTGTTCTCAGGAATGCACCTTCCTGTTACACCAGAAGCTGCCTTTGGACGGTTTGCAAACTGGTCACTGGAATAAAGTCTCTGTTCTCCAAACTCATTTTCTGAGAACTTTTGTCCACAGTACACACTCCAGAAGTATCTGCTTTTCTCATGAGATGCTTAGACGTATTGCCGATGTGTACTGAGTTCCTCAAAGATGCCAGCTACTGAACTAAACCTCTTCATGTGTGTTATCTCCTCTACCAATCCTCCATTGAGGAAGGGCTTGTTATTCCCATTTTACAGATGCAGGACTTGGCTGCAGCTGTTGTAAGATAGCATCGTTTGACTCAGGTCTACATCTACAAACGATGACCCCAGCTCATCCCCAGAGCCACTCAGCTGTGGGCTCCAGGAGGGCTGTCTGTCCAGCTGGCCCTGCAACACCAGGGCAGGCCAAGTCAGGGCCAGAGCAACTGCTCCAGGGATATCTTTGGAATAAATAGGATTTTTTTTAAACAGACCTTCAAGGTGTTCCACTTTCAAGAAGGAAGTTGCTGGCTCTCAGCACCTTTGGATCACACAAATGCCTCATGTCCATCCTTGCTGAGCCTTGCCGCACATGTGCTGTTAACACCCAAGGTCCCCAGCTGTGCCCACCTGACTCTGCCCCTCACCCCCTGGGCTCCAGCTACAGTGCCCTCCCATGGTGACTCCCTGAACACAGGGAGGCCTCTGCCCTGTTAGGGCCTTGCCATTTGCTGTTCCTTCTCTCTTGAAGGTCTTCCCCCAGATCTCTTCTCTCCACCCAGGGAAGAAGGATACAGTGGGAGGGAGCATGAAGGGTCAGGAACAAATTCCAGGAAGTGAGCATGGATGGAAATTCATGTTGAGAAGACTGAGTCTTAGAGACGAAAGCTCCCTACAGCATCATATTGGGGCAAAGCTGGATTGGAGACCAGGTGTGCCTTATGGGCAGCTTGTGTTGGTCACAGCCCGGGATGCTGCCTCTGGTGCAGCCTTTCTGGAAGGCTCCAGTGCTCACATTCTAATCACAGGGACATGGGCTTGACACCTGACTCTTTCAAATATTCCAGGAGCTTCTGTTTCACTTATTAAGTGTTGACAATGAGCCCCTAGAAGAGTCAGACTGAACTGGCCAGATCCCAGGGCCCCAGTTGCAGAGGAAGGAGCAGCAAGAAGACAACAGAAAGCTCCAAGACGAGATAGAACCAACACTGCACCTGGAGCCAAAACAGACACCCACAGAGGGCTGGCGCTGCCCAACTCTGGGGAGTGTGATTTGCAGAACACATGTGCACGGCACAACCTGCCCAACTGGATGGCAGCCCTGAAGTTGCCTCTTACCCGCACAGCCTCCGCAGTAACCAGCTCTGCCTCTGTCAGCTCAAGGACACTGCTGGCTGCCCCCTTAAAGAAGTTCGAGGCCAGGATCATTTTGCCATCCTCCAGCTGAATATTCTTCACCAGCAGCTGCAAAAGGAAGGATTTCTTTTCTTTTCTTTTCTTTTTTTGAGACAGAGTCTTGCTCTGTTGCCCAGGCTGGAGTGCAGTGGTGCGATCTCGGCTCACTACAACCTCCGCCTCCCGGGT
This sequence comes from Homo sapiens, assembly GCF_000001405.40. Classification (NCBI taxonomy): domain Eukaryota; kingdom Metazoa; phylum Chordata; class Mammalia; order Primates; family Hominidae; genus Homo; species Homo sapiens. Next base: position 126,150,652 of record NC_000003.12, read on the forward strand.
TGAAGCGATTCTCCTGCCTCAGCCCTCCTGAATAGCTGGGATTACAGGCGCGCACCACCATGCCCGACTAATTTTTGTTTGTATTTTTAGTAGAGACGGGGTTTCACCACATTGGTCAGGCTGGTCTCGAACTCCTGACCTCATGATCCATCCACCTTGGCCTCCCAAAGTGCTGGGATTACAGGCATGAGCCACTGCGCCCGGCCAAAAGGAAGGATTTCACAGTTCCTGTGGTCGGACCTGAGGCAGTGATGAAGGTGTCCCACAAGGGGTGCTGTGCTGGGCGCTCCAGCCTTGTCTCCAACCTTCAGATGAGGAAGAAGCAGGGAGTCTCAGATTAGTGATGAGTTCAGAGTGGGGAGGCCACTATTCCAGGGACACAGAGGGAATTGCAGAGCTTGTGTCCCCTACCAGCTGCTCGATTTTCCATCACCCACTCCCACCACACTTTCACTTTGTTTTTAAGTGTAATGACTTTATTACTTCTATAAAAAAGGATTCCTACTGAACAAAAAAAGAAAACGTCATTCAGGCACCACATAGAAAGTCAACTTAGAAAAAAAAACTAATCTTGCAATCACCCAGTAGCTCCCAGAACTGCCACAGAAACACCTGGAGAACATCACCAGATGCCTGTGTGGGATACAGAGGTGGGAAGAGGAGAGGCTGAAAAAGGGTCTGGCCGGCCCTGCAGTCTGCAGCTTCAGGATAGCACTTCAAGCTGGTCCCAGGTAGAGCCTGCGTCCAGCCATCAGTTCAAGGGGATTCTGGCTGCCAGACATGAACTGCCCCCATTGTAGCTCATGACTCTGGGCTACTCTAGTGTCTGCCTCAGATTTACTGTATTTAATAAGATGTTTGAATTGTTTGGGGCCTGCTTGTTTATCAATAGTTTTTCAACAAATGCTTTTGTTAGGGGCCAGGAAAAAAAACACATGTACAAAAAGAGTTATGGATAAGCTCATGGGTGGGTGCATGTCACTGTGCGTTAAGAGTGGCTGTGTAAGAATGGTACTCTGTATGCATGCTCTGCCAGAACTGGAACTTGCCTCTCGGCCTGACCCTCGCCCCATTGCCTTTCAAAGATGTTCTGGAGCTTTCTGCAAGCTAAAGCCCAGCCAGACTCCACAGGGCGTGGCTGAGAGATGCTTCAACCCAGGGTCTTCTGGGTTGATCTGTGGGGAGCAGGGTGTGTGTGCTCAGCTGGTCTCTCCTCACTCCCCTCCCACCCTGACCACCTCTGGACAGTGGACAAAGCTCTTGTGAGAGAGCTGATAACCCCAGCTTCCTCTTAAGACACTTAATTGCCTTCTTTGCATTCCTGTCTTTGCAGGTCTCTGGACAGATGCTGTGGGTGCCCTGCTCAGACCCCTGTGGCTGGTGCCCTGTCCTCCAGCTGCAGCAAGGGCTGGATGATAACGGCCTGCACTGTCCCATCCTTGCTTGCTGTGGATGGATAAGAGCTCCTGTACACAAAGAGGCCGAGGGATTATGCCTGGTGGGTCCTCCACCCCACCCCAGGGGCCACTGAAACCAAAGGCTGACAGAGGTGGGGACAGGCAGGTATAATTGGAGGGTGCAGTTAATACTCCAAAACCCACCCTGGGAGCAGCCCCAGGCTAGACTTCTCCTGAACCTTTACTTTTGCTTTGCTTTCCTCTGCCCTTACTGCCTCGCATGATTTTCTGGAACATTCCCTCAATAAATCACTTGCACAAGAATTTTTACCTTAGATGCTGCTTCTAGGGAACCTGACCACAGACAGATATTCTCTTGCAACTGCATATATCAATCTTGGATACCCAAAACACTACATTGCAGACATCAACAGCAGCCTAGACCTTCTGACAGGGGAGCATGGCAGACTGGACACCAAGAGCGAGCAAAGGCCAGGCCCCATACTGCCACGCCTCACTCTGGTAGGCCGGACACAGCAACACGGCTGGGGGTACCACGCCCATGGGGTTTGTCCGGACCCTGTCAGTGTGTGGGAAGATCCCTGCCTGCCCTCTCCCTACCCCCGGCTGCTCATGTGAGAAGGAGTAGTAGAGTGCATATGAACAGGAAGCTACCATGGCCAAGACCAGCATCACGGCTTTGGAGCCAGAATTTCAGAGTCTGAATCCCAGCTCTGCCACGGGCTAGCTTGGATGATCCTGGACAAGTTATTTAAATCTCTGTTTTTTTCCTCTATAAGGATATAATATTTATACATATCTCATAGTGTTGTTAGGCAGATTAAATTTAACGCATATACATTGTTCTGGTATAAAAGGTGCTCCATCAGTGTTTGCTGGTACCGTGAGTTGTAGTCTGCTAATAACAAGAGCAGGTGGCCGGCATGGCTCCCAAGGCTCTGCACGTGCTAAGTTACCATGGCATCGCCGTTCAAAGAGATGGGAGCTGAGGCACAGAGGCTTAATGACCCCACACCCAGAGGTGTTTCTGATAGACCAAAGAGAGGCCCTGAACCCAGGCTCCCTGGGAGGGCTTCTCTCTGATTCTAGGTTGCCTGACACCCACACAGGGCACTCAGCCTGGAGATGGGTGCCTAGCCAGGAAGGGTAGGGAGCCCAGCTTTCCCAGAACAGAGAAGTGGGTAAACTGCCTCGGACACCCTGTGCTCAGGACCAGCCGGGTGGTCAGGGACAAATCAGGGTCAGTGTTCCTTCCTGGGTCTGGTTTTTTCCATTTTCTCCAGAGGAGCCTAGGGTCTTCCTGTGAGGCCTGAGTCCAAGGACAGGAGCATGGGTGGCTTTGAGCAGGCAAGTGACCCACAGCCGTGCCCTTACCATTTTGTCATCATTCCCAAAGAGGATGAGTCCTGCTTTGGTGACCACCCCTGGCCGATGGGCTCCTGGGATGGGCAAAGCGTCTCCCTCGGGCACCAGGCCTGAAGTGTTCAGCGTTGAGTTGAAAAATGTCAGTTTCTGTCAAGGGGAGAAATATCAGAAGATGGTGGGTGAGAAGAAGCCCCCGAAGCCAGTAGCCCAGGCAGGTCTGAGCAGGGCTGGGAGAGGGAGAGGGGCCAGGGGTAGCTGAGACCTGGGAGCCGGCTCAAAGCCCATGTGACCCCTGAGGCCCTTTCTCCTGGGGCACAAACAAGACCTGGAGGAGCCTCAGTGGCCTCAGGGAGCTGATGGCAGGTCTGCCTCAACTCTGCCATAAGACCCTTCTCCTTGGCCCATGGCCTCAGACCTGAGGTGCACAGACTGGGGGAGAATGTGCTCCAGGCATCACGGAATGAGGCTACCTGCCTTCAGGGTGCTGCCAAGGAGTGGTTGCTTTGATCAGAAGATGCATTTGCTAGTACAAAGGGCTCTGCGTTGATGAGGACAGCAGAGAGGCTTCTGGCCACAGTCTGGGCAGTCGGCTGGGGGTCAGGGGTCTGGAGAGTCTGAGACTGTGTGGGGGACAAGACTGCCCTCAAGGTTTGCACAAAGTCCACCACACACAGTCCCGCCACCCCTGATGCCTCACTAGAGCCTGTGACCCCCAAGTCTCCCCATCTTCAGCATCTGGCCTGCCCACGGTCAGCCTGGCCCTGAATGTGCTGCTCCACCCTGCCTGAGGCCAAGTCAGAGTGAGTACTGGGCCTGGGGTCTCCGCAAGCCCAGTGGTGAGACTCAAAATATTTCACCACCAATACAGCTGGGCCCCAGGGGCACTACAAGGGCCTGGAGGCCTCCAGCTACGCAGGACATCTATCCTTTAGCTACTGCAGGCTGGGTAGGTCTCTCACTCCTGGGGAAAGGCTGGGATGTTTAGGGGGCACCCAGTGGGAGTAGGGGCCAGGGCAGTAGCTATTTATTATACCAACCAGTTCAAACATGTGTGACAGTTTAATGGCCAGTGGGATACACCAATGCACGTGGCTGGATTCCAGCCATGCAGGGACACACCTGTTCACAGGCCTCTGTCCAGGCTCCCGGCACCTTGTCGTTCCCGCGGATCCAGTTGTGAATGGCCTCTGCCGGCTGGTCCCAGTTGATCTGTGGGGAGCAAGGTGTGTGTGCTCAGCTGGTCTCTCCTCACTCCCCTCCCACCCTGATGACATCTGGACAGTGGACCAAGCTCTTGTGAGACAGCTGGTAACCCCAGCTTCCTCTTAGACACTTGCAGGAGTCCCTGAGCTGGTGCCCCTAGTTCTGGGTGCTCTCTGACCCTCAGTCTCTCATGGGCTGAGCAGACTTCAGAATGGTTTGGGGAAGATAATGTTCTGTTGCTGTCAAGATGGCCCAGACCCTACACAGAGGCCCCAGCACAATGTACTCAGGCCCGTCCCATAGGGCCCAACCTTTCACTGGCAGGGCCCCTGTGGGTCCCCACACAGCAACCCATACTCCTGAGCTGAGACACAGCCTACAGGCTTCTGAGGCTCCTCCACTGGCTATTGCTCCAGAGACCCGCACTGTCCCTCACACCTTGCCTTGAAGACTGCTCGCACTACGGCTGACGTTTTGCCCCCTAACTCCCACTCTTATCTCCCTGTGGGCTTTGTCTGCCCATTCCTCCTAAAGAGGAACAGGAAAGAACCTGGAATGGACCCTGTTCGCTACCCTCCCAGGTGCCAGGGTCCTCCTCCTCCACGGCTCTCTTCATGCATCCCTGACCTGGGCTGCCCTGTGTTCTGGCCTCAAAGAATTACAACCTGCACCATCTGGGCTGAACCCCAGCCTCCTCAGGCTGCCCTCTACAACCCCAGTCTGCTCACAGGCAGGATGAGGGTGTGGAGGGACCCAGCACTCACCTTGGCTGTCTCCTTCTTCTGAATCCCCTCATAGGTGGCTCCTTCCTCAGGCTGAGGGAGTCTGGGGGCTTTGCCCTCAGCGATCAGCCTCACGGCCTGCACCTGGGGAGATCCAGTGGGTTGCTATCCCCAGCAATAGGACCCTGCCTCCTTCCCAGCCCCAGGGCCCACATTGAGCCTGGACCCTTCCCCAGACTGACCAGACTTGCCTGGTACACAGCAGTCACCCAAGAAACACCTGCCATATGAACAAGGGAGTCAGCGTGAACCTAACTTCTATTGCACAACGGACACAGACCCGTCCTCTCTACCTGGCAAAGGTTTAGATTACATAGATCTTACATCTTCTGATATCTTAGATGATTATATAAACTGTAAAGCCCTGCAGGTATAACACAGACACAAATGTCCATGTTGCTGTCTAAGCCTTCTCTGCCTTTAAAGAGAGTGGGTCCTGAGCCCCGTGGTGGGCTTGAAGGTGGAAGTTTGGAGGTCTGAGATGAAGCAGGAAGTTGTTTCTCTGTGACAGGAAAGAGGAAGGTGGTGGGAAAGGAATCAGAGAGGGAGAAGGAGAGCCAAGGAGTCTGGGCCCACGTGAGCAAGAGCCTGAGGGAAGAGACCGGGAGGTGCCAAGAATGGGAAGTGACCGGGTGTCAGAGCATCTGAGGCAGGGCTGCCCAATGGAGCCCTCTGTGGTGATGGATGAGTTCCAAGTCTGCACGGTCCAACACGGTGGCCAGGGGACTTAGAATGTGGCTGAGACTGAGGAACTGAATTTTTCAGTATAATTCATTTTAATTGATTTAATAGCTGCATGTTACCAGTGGCTGCCTTGTTGGACAGTGCAGCTTCAAGGAGTATTTGAGTTGCTTGCCGTGGGAAGCACAGGTAAGCTCCCTCTCTGTACCACTAAATCTCCAGCAACTCTACTTTGTTCACTATTTTTGTGAGCTGGTCAATCTGTGGGGAAGACAAGTTTAACACAACCGAAAAATAAAAGGCAGTGGCCAGGAGCTGAGGAGGACGAGGGGACAGTGGACACTGCAGCTGCTCTTCCTGCTGCGCCCAAACAGCAAGGGCTCCCCAGGGCCTCCTTCCCTCCTGCTGCATGCCTGGACAGCACCTCTGCCTGTGGCCGTCCCTGCCAGCCTGTCCTCGGGCAGGGGCAAGCAGCCCTCACATATGATCCCCGGGCCCCTCCTGCAGCTGTGGGCTCCGGCCCATAGCCTGCCACCCTGCCTCTCAGCAGTACCAGCTGCCCAGGTGACTGAGCCGCCCTGCCGCTCAGGCCATGTGACCACAGGTCACGGCCTTCCCAGCAGGAAGCATGTGACGGAGACAGCCTATCAGAGCACTCCATCACCCCAGCTGGTGATTGGCTCATGAGGATCACATGACCCCCAAGCTGGCCAATCAGAATCTCCCCTGATTTGTGATTGATGAATTCTAGGAGAAAAAGTGTTTCTCTTTCCCTGGAATCAAGAATTAGAATCCTTGAGCTATAGTGGCTATCTTTCCTCTAATTCAGGGCAGCCAAACTGAGAATGAAACAAATCACACAGAGAAAAGGAGAATCAACGAGTGAAGGAGAGAGAAATAGAATCCTAACGATGTCATAATTGAAGCTCCTGGATTCAGCAGGGTGTGACCCAGTCCCTGCCTTTAGCCTTCCTTGTCTATTGAACGGGCCCCAAAATGTCCCCTTTTTGCCAAACGCTTTTTGAGCTGGGTTCTGTCCGTTGTGAGCAAGATTCCCTCCTAATACAATACACTGTTTGTCCTAATCCTGCCTCTGAAACCTTGAAGTGAGAGCTCCTCTCCCTCCAGAATCCTGAATTTGGGGAACAGATTCCTGGCCTCCAGGAGCGGTGGGCTGGGTCTAGGGAGGATGCTTGAGGGTGCGTCGGGGCGGGCAGGGCGCGGCCGGCTCCAGGTCCTCACCATCCCTTTGATGCCTTCAGGGAAGAGGAAGCGGTTGTACAGCGTGCTCACGGTGTCGTCCGGGAGCACCTCACACTCCTTCTGCAGCAGCAGGTCTCCGGTGTCCAGACCATCATCCGCCCAGAAGATGGAAAACCCCCCTTTCTTATCTCCGTGAATGAGGGTCCTAGGAAGCAGAAGAGTGAAACCTGGAGTCCACGATGAAGGGCCACGGAGGATGTCCTGGGTACAGGCCCGTGGACCTGCCACCCTCCAGGAGGCCCTCTCTTCCCAGGGGTAGGACTGACACCGGCTCCGGCGGGAAACGGAAGAAGGAAAACAGCATGTATTGATAACAACCATGGGCCAGGAATTGTGCTAAAAGCTCTATATGCCTTATGTAACTGAGTCCTCACAGCAGGGATAACAGGTATACTCGGTTTACAGATAGGGAAACTAAGGCCCAGAAAAGTGAAGCGACACCCACAAAGATCAGAGAGCCTGAATCTCAACAGACCAGTCCGACTACAAATCCACTCTCTTTTCTCAACTCAAATGTCTTCCCTCTTTGACCACCCATCTGCCTTGTCACCCCATTTGTTGTCTTGGGAATTCTGTCCCCTCAGAGTACCTTGTGGAGGCCATCCTTTGCTCCATCTTTATCTCTTTCTACGAAGTGTGCTGCCCAGAGCAGCGGCAGTGGAAGTTAGAGTAGGACCCCCAGCCCACCGCCTGGGGTGGCACCCTGGCCCCTGCGCCTCCTGGTGCCCTCTCTGTCCCTGCGCCTTCTGGTGCCCTCTCTGTCTCAGCTGGGGGATGGGAACACTGACAGTGCCAGCTTCTCCAATAACTGTGGGAATGCAGAGTGCTTAGCAACACCTGCTCCCAGTGCTCTAGAGCCTTCACTCATTGATAACGTTGCACAGCCTGTTCTGTGGCTGACATCTGGCAGCCACAGGACAGGCACCTGCACGATGCCCACTCTGCAGCCCTAGAAATGCTTTGGGCTAATGGAAAGTGACAAGTCAGGCTGATGGAGGGACATGTATGGGGATGGCCCCCTGTGTTTTTGCCCCATCTCACCAGTTGATGGCCGAGGCCCCTCGGTGCCTAGGGAGCAGTGACGGGTGATAGATGATGGAGCCATGCCGGGGGGCACTGATTATCTCCATGGGGATGAATTGGCTGCAGAAGGGCAGGACGTTGAGCTCGGCCCCCAAAGCCTGGTATTTTGCCACCACATCAGGCAAAGCCTGTCCTTTTGCACGCCACCGGGAGTACTTGAATACCGGCACTCCATCCTTCTCAGCTTCCAGACCTGTGGGACGGTGGATAAGAAACTGGCCCCTCTCCATAACCCACCCACACGCAGCCACCTCTGCCTTCCCAGCAGAGCAGCTCATAGGACTTCTCTCCATTCCTGCCCCCTCACCCACACCCCAGCCAGGCTCCACTGGGCAACACAGACGGATGCACCAGCCAAGCATGAGGCTCTGGGGACTGCCCTGCCTGCATCCTGACTTTTGCTGAACCCCAGGACCTCTGAGTGCCTCCCTCTTCCAGAACCCAGATGGCTGACCTCTGCCCTCATTCCTCTCCTGAGGCCTTGCCATCCCCGTCACTGAGTTACTGTCTTCCGGCCCCCTCTACTGCTCACTCTGTGATGGGGACTGCCCCCCTGCAGATGGCATTTCTGCTTTGTCAGCTGTTCCCTGATGGAGGAAGAAGGGGAAGAAGGGCAACAGGGCATCCCCACTCCTTTCTGTCCAGTGGGTTCCTGTCCTGTGAGCCTCCCCCAGCCCAGCTTCTTCATCCCAGTCACAGTCGTTCCTTCTCAGAGCAATGGCTAAATCAGTTTTTCCATCATCTGCAGAACTAGCCTCAATATGCACACATGCGTGCACACACACACACACACACACACACCCCAGAGGACCAGATACAGCCTGCAGGGCCCCTCCTCCTGCCCCGTCACCAGCACACCCTCCTCACAGGTCTGGATTACAGGCCCAAGCTCCCAAGTTTTTATAGTTAAAGCGTCCTCCTTTATCTTAGCCTTACAGTGGCAGCTGCTTCCTGCAGTCGCTGTCCCCAATAACTTTGGGCTCTCTGCCTTCCACTCTTCAATACCCAAGGAACACTTCTTTGTATTCAGTTCTCTGTTAGAGCCTCTGGTGTGATGTTTGGGCCCTGACTGGACTGGCTCTCCTCTCCGGTCTCCTCCTCTGTCACTCTGTCCTGGTGTCTGGTAGTTTTGAGAGAGGGTGGGATGTGATGTCAGCAGATTGGACTGCACTTGCAAAAGCTGTCCCACAGTGACCAATGAAATACTGCTTCAGGACATCTGAGATCAAGGCCAAGTAGGAGTCCCAGCCAGGCCTGGTCTGGGTCCAGGGTCAGCAGCTGGGGTCAGTGGTCACTTAGTGGCTGGGTGTAGGACCCAGGCTGTGGTGGGGTCAGGGTATGTCATGGGTCACTTGTGGTCAGGTCCAAGACTGAAGCCTGGCTGGCATTGGGTGTTGAGTGTTGGAGTTGATTCTAGGGCCAGGCTGCAGCTTCCCCACTGAGGGAGACTGGCTTTCCTTAACAAACTACACCTCTGTGCCTGGCCAGGCCTACAAGCCCCCTTTCCTAATCCTGGCCCTCTATCCTTAAGCCCTGCCCCACAGTCTGTCTCCATCAGGCCTGAGAAGGACCAGTCAGTGTTCCTAGAGGGTCTGTTCATCCAAGCTGAGGCCCCTGCATCCTGTCTGCTGAGGTTCCCAGCTCAAAGGCAGTGACCCAGACCCATGATTCTCAAAACGTGCTTTTCCTAGTACAAGAGATGCCAGTATCTCCCAGGAACTTGTCCCAGGTTAACAATTTCACCTAATTCTGACTTTTCCACCTCATTCTGAATCCGAAACTCTCAGGGTGCGCTTAGTACTCTCTGTGTTTTTTTCTTTTCTTTTACAAAATGCCAGGGGAGAGTGCAAATGCAGTTCCCCATTACCACAAATTATGAAGTCGAGTTTCCCACCTTTGGGGAAATTGCAGGGATCAGCACATCCAGAGTACAATGGAGAAGACTCGCCCTGGGAAAACCACCTTTGTGATCATGGTCTCTCCCCTGATGGGTAAGTAGAGCACTATGTGTTTTGACGGCAGCCCCAGCAATGGTGATGCCGCGCATGCCCACCTTTCAGAATATGGACCCCCAGTTCAGAACATGGAGACCTTCCCAATCATGGGTGCTGGGTCAGAGAAGCTCTGTGTGGGACCTGGGACCAGGCTGGGCTTCTCTATAGCCCTTCTCCAGGACCCTAATGCCACCCCATGATCAGGTGGGGAGGGGATCTCCAATTTATTCCAGAAAAGCCCAGCAGCCTGTTGGCACTGGAGCAGGATTCAAGGTAGACCACTTATGGCTGCCTCCCAGCTAGAGCACAGGCCCTGCAGACTTCTGCTCCCAGACTCCCACCTACTGCTTCCCTTCTACCTGGATGGGCGGGCCGCCCTCCATCAGCTTCCCTGCTCCATTGGCTCACTCACCCAGGGGGTCGGCCTTTCCATCCTTGTCTGGAACAGTGAACACACCCACCACTTCGTGGCCCTCCTTCCTCAGGTGGCAGTAAACTTCCTGGCCAAACAGGCTCTGTCCAATCACTGCAATCTTCATGGTAGCAGGAGGGTTGGAAGGACCTGGAGAAGGAATAAGGCAGCAATTAGACAGAGATCGCTGGTCTCAGAGAAGCCAGCCCTGGTTCAAGACAGGGCAGTTCATGGCACCTGGCCTGCTCTACCCCAGTCCCCTCTGTGGCTCTGTGGGTGGCAGGCCACTGAGGGGAGACTGCCACTGTAAGAGAGACCAGATGAAACATGTACACATGACCCAATGGATCCCTAATGTCAGAATATTCAATGCGACAGCAGGTGAGCTGGAAATGGATTGTAGAATTAGGGGATTTCTTTTTGAAACCTTCCAAACTGGCATGGAATGTTGGGTGTCAAGATGTTTGATATGTATTTGAGCATATTTCTGTAACTAACCAGTTCTATGGCCTTGGTCAAGTCACACTTGTTCATGAGAAAGATGCCACATCTCTCAAATGGCTTTCAGCCTACAAATTAGGCTTATTCCTCTGAGCCAGGAGTCACAAAAGGAGCAAGGGGAGTCCCCGCCGAAGGGGCTGTCCAGCTGAGCTGCAACAGAAAAGGGGCCTGCGTGGGGGCGCCTGAGGATGAAGGTGGTGGAAAGTGGAATGGGATTCCACTAAGGAAGATGTGTAGAATGAAGCCTAGCTAATCATGCACATTCTCCAAAGATTGGTCATTCATTCACCTCACGCATATCTGTAAAACCTGAACTATTATTCACTTAATACAGTTCTTTAAATTGTCCTTTTACGAAAATAAGATTTTATTTTGGAAAATTTTATTAAAGTAATGTGTACTTCATACATACAGAAAGTGCACAAATCATAGATGTGTAGCTCAATGAATTTCACAAACCAAACACACCACTGTCAACACCACCAGAAAGAGAAAAACTCCAGGAACTCTTTGAGCCTCTTCTAGTCACTACATTCACCAAGAATGATGGGACTTCTAACAGCATCGAATGGTTTCGCTTGATATATATATATATCCCCTTTATATGTATTCATTTTACATAAATGGAACCATGCAGTGTTTTGTAGATTTTCTCCCTCAACATTATCTTTGTGGTTGCATGTAGTTGTACTGAGTTTATTCTCATTGCTGCAGAGTATTTTGATATGTGGATGACCTCTAGTTCATTTATTCATTCTATTGTTAATGGAATTTGGGTAGTTACCAGTTTAAAGGTATTACAAATAGGATGCTACAAAGATACTTGCACATGGTCTTCATGGTACACATGTACACATCTCTGTCAGGTGTGTACTTAGGGTGGAATTCCTGGGTCATAGGTGTGAAAATTTCCAGCTTTAACAGACGCTGCCAGTTTTCCAGAGTGGTTGTATTAGTTTCCACTTCCATGTGCTCTCCACTTTGGCTTGTGTCTTCATTTTAGCGCTTTTCCTAACATGAAATACAGCTGTCTCATTGGGGTTTAATTTGCAATTCCCTGATGACCAATGAAGTCGAATGCCTTTTCCTGTTTCTTGGCTATTTGGATATCCTTTTGTGGGAATCATCTCTTCAAATCTTTTGTCTGTTTTTTTCCATTGGGTGGTTTTATTCTTATTGAAAAGGAGTTTTTTTGTATTGTTGCTCTGTTTTGTTTTTTAATCATCTAGACTTTGAGCTCTTTGTCAGATATGTGTATGGAAAATATCTTCCCTAATTCTGTGGCTTGCCTTTTTCATCCTCGTATAATGTCTTTTGATGAACAGATGTTCTTAAACTTAATATAGTACATTTTATCAAACATTTCCTTTATGTTTAGTGGTTCTTGTATTCTATTTAAAAAATCTTTGCCTACTCCAACTTCATGAAGATGTTCTCCTTGTCATTCAAGATCTTTATTGTTTTGCCTTTTACATTAGATGTGCAATCCCTCTGGAACTGATTTTTTCATACAATATAAGGTAGAAGTCCAGAATTTTTTTTCCATCTGCATATAAAATTAACCCAGCACTAGTTACTGAAAAGACGTTTCTTCATTGAAAAGGATCATACATGTACACATCTATCTTTGAAACTTTAGTCAGTTTGTCTATCTTTGCATTTAGTATAGCTTAAAAATGTTTTTTGTTGTAGTGGTGAAGATACATAACCTAAAGCTTTATTGTAGCTGATCTACCTAGTAGTTGTGAAGTGGTATTTCATTGTGGTTTTGATTTGTATTTTCCTATTGAATCATGATGTTAAACATCTTTTCATGTGCTTTTTGGCCATTTGTATACCTTCTTTGGAGCAATGTTTATTCGAGTTTTGACCCATTTTAAAAATTGGTTTGTCTTTTTTGTTGCTAGCATATAGAAATACAATTGATTTTGTACACTGACGTTGTATTAACTAGCACCTTAATTGCTTCACATATAAATTTTCATACTGTGTAGATTCTTTGTGGTTTTCTAAGTATAAAATCATGTTATGATGTTGGTTTTAATTCTTTCTTTCTAATCCTGAAGTCTTTCATTTCATTTACTTTCTTATAGCACTTGCCAATATATCCACTACAATATTGAATACAGATGGTGATAGTAGTTCCTGTCTCATTCCTGTGACCTTGGGAAGAAACCATTCAATATTTGACCATTGGTTAGCTTTGGGGAATTTTGGTAGATAGACTAGCATATTATGAAAGTTGTCTTATTAATATATTTCTGGCTGCCAATCATGACAAGGAGTTGACTTTTACCAAATGTTCTTCCTATAGGTCATGAGATTTTTATTTTATTGTGGTGGATCATAATGATTGATTTTTAAATGTTAAGCCACCTTTGCATTCTTGGAATGAATACCACTTGACCATGATGTATAACCTTTCTATATATCTCTGAATTTGAAGAGCTGGTATTTTATTTGTTTTTAAATCTATGCTTGTAAGAAATATTGACATGAACCAGTCCCAGTCGCTCATGACTGCAACCCCAGCACGTTGGGAGGCTGAGGTGGGCAGATTGCTAGAGGCCAGGAGTTCAAGACCATCCTGGGCAACATAGTGAGACCCCATCTCTGCAAAAACAAACAATAGCTGGACATGGTAGTACGTGCCTGTAGTCCCAGCTACTTGGGAGGCTGAGGCATGAGAATCACTTGAGTCTGGGAGGTCTAGGCTAGAGTGAGCTGAGACCCTACCACTGCACTCCAGCCTGGGCAACAGAGTGAGACTATGTCTCAAAAAAAAAAGGCAAGGCAAGGCAAGGTAGGGCGGGGCAGGGCAGGGTGAGGCAGAAAAGAAGAAAAGAAATATTGATGTGTCAAATACTTCATTGTAACAAATGTCCTATTCAGGTTTTGGTGTAGCTTTCTCTTTCTTTCAACTTTTATTTTAGAAACAGGGGGTGCAGGTGCAGGTTTGATATATGAACATATTGCACCCAGGTAGTAAGCACAGTACCCAACGGAGTTTTTTCAACCCATTCCCGTACTCCCTCTAGCAGTCTGCAGTGTCTGTTGTTCCCATTTTATGTGCATGTGTGCTCAATGTTGAGCTCCCACTTACAAGTGAGAACGTGCAGTATCTGGTTTTCTGTTTATGCCTTAATTCACTTAGGATTACGGCCTCTAGTCCACCCATGTTGCTGCAAAAGACATGCTTTCACTCCTTTTTATGGTTGTGTAATATTCCATGGTGTATATGTACATTTTATTTATCCAATCCACCATTGTTGGGCACCTAAGTTGATTCCCTGTCACTGCTGTTGTGAATAGTCCAACGACGAACATACAAGCGCATGTGTCTTTTTCATATAATGATCTATTTTCCTTTGGGTATATACCCAGTAATGGGATTGCTGGGTTGGATGGTAGTTCTAAGTTCTTTAAGAAATCTCTAAACTTTTCTTTAAGAAACTTCCACAGTGGCTGAACTAATTTACATTCCCACCAACAGTGTATAAGCGTTGTTTTCTCTATAGCCTCACCAGCACTGTTATTGACTTTTTAGTAATAGCCATTCTGACCAGTGTAAGATGGTATCTCATTGTGATTTTGATTTGCATTTCTCTAATGATTAGTGATGAGGAACATATTAAAATTTTCCTCATTTTAATTAGTGATGAGGAACATATTGAAATGTTCCTCATTTGTTGGCTGCTTGTACGTGTTTTTTTGGGAAGTGTCTGTTCATGTCCTTTGCCCATTTTTTAATGGGGTTATTTGTTTTTCGCTTATGGAAGGGATGTTGGATTTTATCCAAAGCTTTTTCTGTATCTATTGAGATGATCATATAGTTTTTGCTTTTAATTCTGTTTATGTGGTGAATCACATTTATTGATTTGTGTATGTTAAACCAGCCTTGCATCCCAAGAATAAAGCCCACTTAAGCACAGTATATTAACTTTTTGATGTGCTGCTGGATTTGGTTTGCTAGTATTTTGTTGAGGATTTTTGTGTCTATGTTCATCGGGGATATTGGCCTGAAGTTTTCTTTTTTTGTTATGTCTCTGCCAGATTTTGGTATTAGGCAGATGCTGGCTTCACAGAATGAGTCAGGTAGGATCCCCTCCTTTTCAATTTTTTTGTAATACTTTCAATAGGATTGGTGTCATTACTTCTTTGTATGTCTGGTATAATTCAGTGTGAATCCATCTGGCCCTGAGCTTTCCTTGGTTGGTAGTTGTTTTCATTACTGATTCAGTTTCAGAGCTCAATATTGGTCTATTCAGCATTTCAATCTTTTCCTACTTTAGTCTTGGGAGATTGTGTGTTTCTAGGAATTTATCCATTTCCTTTAGATTTTCTCATTTGTGTGCATATATTTGTTCACAGTATTCTCTAAGAATCTTTTCTAATTTCTGTGGATTGGTTGTAATGTCATCTTTGCCATTTTTGACTATACTTATTTGGATCTTCTCTTTTTGTGTGTTAATGTAGCTAGTGGTCTAATGATCTTGTTTATTTTTATTTTTTTGAAAAACCAACTCTTGATTTCATTGATCTTTTGTATGGATTTTTGCATCTCAATTTCATTCAGTTCTCTAATTTTTACTTCTTTTCTTTGACTGGCTTTGGGGTTGGTTTGTTCTTTTTTTCTAGTTCCTTTAGGTGAAGTTAGTTTGTTAATTTGAGATCTTTCTATCTTCTCGATGAAGCCATTTAGTGCTAGAAACTTTCCTCTTAACACTGCTTTAGCTGTATCTCAGAGATTCTGGCAATAGGTTCCCCATATTCAGGGTTTCTTCTACTTTAAACCGCACCCCTCGTCCTTCTCCACCGGTTCAAAAACTGCTCCAACCAGTCAAACCTCCCCTGCCATTCTCCCTCTCCGGGAAGTGGCCAGGGTTAAAGGCATTGCTCACGTTCATGTCCCCTTCTCCATGTCTGATTTGTGGCAGATAGAACAGCTTCTGGGATCTTTCTCTAAAAATCCCTCTCATTATCACAGGGAATTCCTGCATATAACTCAATCCTTTCATTTAACTTGGCATAACATTTATATAATTCCAAAATCCACCCTTACCTTTAATAAAAAAGAGTGCTCAGCTTAATTAAAATGGATATCCAAGAAAGTATATTCAAAAGTCCTTTATGTTTTTCTCTTCATAAATCTTGTTTTCCTGAAAAAAGTTTTTTTCTCAGCCAAAATTACATTTCTCCACTCTGTCTTGCCACTTTTAGTGCATGTTTATAGAAACTTAACAATGTCTTTATTAATAATTTTATTATAAAATTTCATAAACCATGTTTTTCAAAATAAATTTGTATCAAATCCAGCTTCCCAAAAATGCTAATAGTTAAGTATATCAATGTACTAAGTAAATCATTCACTCATACCCACTGGGAAAATTTAATGTTACTGCCCTTCACAGTGAAAAAAAAATCTTTCATTTTAAAAATTAAATTTAAAAATGTTACATAAGTTGGCACTTCAGTAGTGTATACACTAGCATTAGTTTATACACTACTTTTGCCACTGGGGAATTCAAGTTAAAATGCCCCTCTGTCATATAGCTCTAAAATACATCTTTCATTCATAATTTCTGCTCATACAATTAAATAGTTTGGGTCATTTTCATTTATACTATAAAACAAAAGCAAACTAGTCCAGTTTAATTTTTTATACTTAAAATACTGCACATTTTCTGTATATGAGTCATTCAGATTAGTATCTACGTAGGTTCAGTCAAATCCAACCATAAATTCAAGTTATTATACTATATAAGCCTATAAAATACATAGAAGTATTATTACGTTGCCTTTATAACAAAACCCAAGAGTCTGTTTCAATTTATAAATTCAGCATTTAAGCAAAAAGATTTTAGTTCCCAAAGTTCTAAAAAAATGACAAAACAATAAGGAAAAAAGGAACCAGGGCTTAGTGCCGCATATTTTTCTCTTGGGGTTGTAAGGTAGTCTCCTTCTTTTCAGAACACTTTATTATATTTCACTTATAGACCTAACTTTCTGTGTTGAAGTATAATTCTCATGCTGAAGCTCTAACCTAAAAAGGCAAAAAAAGTTGTCTTCATTGTACAAACATATTCATCGCTTTAACAAGATAATAAGGGAACAAAATTTAGAATGCAAGCTAAGTAAGAATACTATCTCTATAAACATGTCCCTAAGATAAACCATAATTGGCAGCTAATTTACCTGTCTAGAAAATCTCAGTTCCCACCAGCAAAAATATCCTCAGTGGCTAGTGCACCTTAAGAAAAATCTGGCATACTAAATAAATAATGTTAACGTGGGAGCCAGAAGCTACCCAGCCTTGCCTTTAGACTCCTCTGTGACTACAACAATAAAGCCAGCACTTTTAAAACTAGTAAGCATTCACATGTCGGTATCATAAAGAGTATTGCCCAACTAAACTTTGCTCCCACCTGTTCAGTAGTTACTTATTTCTACCTAAGCACTCACCTTGCGATTTTACCCAAGTGTTTAAAATTGAAAAAACAGCATTATATTTCAGAGCTACTTCGCCCAAATTACAAAATGAGTCAGTGTTTTTAGTTTCAAGTCACACACAAAAAAACTTAACACATTTTACCTTAAAGTTAAAAATTGCTAAAAGTTATCATTATAACATGTAATTAAAACTGCTAAACATGGATTTGCATGCAAGGTGTATAAAAACAGTAAAAAGTGTTTTTAGTTAAAAATTATAAAAAGGCATAAAAATGTACATTTTGCTGAAGAATAATAAATTGTCTTAAAATTAAATAAAATAAAGTGAAAGGTTTAGGCAAATTGTAAAAACATCATAAAAATTAATTCTGCAAATAAAACTCTTGTGTGTTAACACATTAACTAAACTCAAAAGAGTATTATATGCTTTTTTTCTGTAAATTAAACACTAAAATAAAAGCACCACAAGATTTTCTTAAAATGCTAATCTACTCTTTAGCAAAACTTGTCAAGGGTTATAATGGGCATATAAAAATCTCACTTCATAGTCAAACTCATTAAAATTAAATAAAATTATCTATAAGGTTTCATTAAAATTAAAGTTAACATTAATAGCAAACTAATGAAAGGGTAAAATTTAACTTTCTCTCTTAAACAAAATTTTCCTGTAATACAAAAGGCTAATAAATGGTTTTTGCTTTTCCAGATTGTTATCTCATCATTTTAGCAAAACAAAACAAACAGAAAAAAACTTAACGGTAATCTAAAATTCTATTTCATAATATCGAGGGTTTTAAATTTTAAACATATTTAACAGTCTTCCCCAAATCAAACTTTAGTCTCGAGGTTGTCTTTCCTAACCCCTGGCTTTTCGGTGCTGCACAAAACCCCTAAACCATCCAAAAAGAGGTAAACAGAATTATTTAGCAACATAAAATTTCCAAAAGACTGTCTAATAGGTTATATTCTAAGGAATAATACTAACATATGTTCCAAAACTGTATGGGATGTCTAAGGTTCTTATGTCTAAATATGTGCTATTAATCACACTTAAAGTTGTTATGTTGGGTTATTGTAAACCACAAAAACAACCACATTTCTTTGTCAATTGTGTTTCTAACAGTATCCAAACTAGACATTTTGTTATTTACAGACAATTTTTATTTTGTTTGAATTATCTTCAAAACGTGGTTTATATTCAAGCTGTGAAACTTTAACAAGCGCTCTCAAAGGCAGGTTTCTCACAACAGCAACAACAACAACAAAACATGCAGAACTCACAAAAAGCTAAAATGTTTATAAATATCAAGCAAAACAAAAATTAATAAAATGCACTAAACTAATAAAAAACAAAAACAAGTTTTTACCTTTTCCTTAGAATGCTGCTAATCTTTATCTTATTTTTCAGAGTCAAGAAAACTTGTCTTAAGCTAGCTACAGCTTCTAACAACTAAGTAAAGTATACTCCTGTAAATAGAATTTAAAGCGTGTTTTTTTCTCTTTGCCTAGTTCCTCTAGAATTTAAAAACTAGTTATAAGCATTCTTAAAGGACAACACTACAGTTGTTTGCATCAGTGCAATAAGAATCTATTTTCTTTTGTAACAGAATACAATTGGAAAAACTGGTTATTTTCCCAAGGCTTTGACTGGAATGGTGTGCTCTCCTCTAAGGAATCAAACTTAAGAAGCCAATGAAACCCTTGGAAAACTGGCCTCATATTTTGTGTGCACAGTCCCTGTACAGGGTTTCTGATGTGTGGTAAGTAAAGAATGTCACTTTCTGACAGGCCAGGAACCCCAAGTTATCTTAAAACCTCAAAAGAAAAGGAATTCACCCAACTCATAAGTATTTAATGGTACAAATCCATGGCTGGGCTTGGCTTTAACAACTCTTATCTCAAATTCCTTCTATGTAACAAAGTTCCATCAAAGCTGATTTAAAAGGCCTATGTAGCAAATAATTATTATTGCTGCACTGTATACAAATAATTAAGCCAAGTATAATAAAGCAAATCAGTCCTATCATAAATTCTTTTAATAAAAATAGGAAACTGAAAAGTAAAAATTATGTTTCAAAAACTATAGCACACCTGTTGTTAAATTCTAGTCTTGCCTAACATTTTTCAATTTTTATTATCTTTTACAGTTTAAATTATATCCGTTACAGAAATCAACTCCTGGATACATCATATTCAAGTCAAAGCCTAAAGAGCTGAGAAAGCAACCCCTAACAGTCCAAAAAAAGTCCTATTCATGTAAAAAAATAAATAAGAAATCTTAAGCTAAAAATCATAAAAGTTAAGTAACTAAGTAAAAATTGCTCATCTTACTCAGTCTCAACCCCACCTCACCAAATACTTTTTGTCGTTTCTACTTCTCCTTTTAAGCCAACTATTAAAACCTTTTTTAATGAAAATTATTTACTATGACACCCTCGCGGGAACTGCTGTACTCACTCTACTATTTGCAGTAGGACTGTGAACCCTCAGAGTGGAATATCTGACAGAGAATCTCAATTACTGTAGCATTTTGCTTAATTATTATCCTCATAGCAGGAATAACAGTTACTAACAAAAAATAACACATGGGTCTTTCCAAACATGCACCTCTGCCTGTCATTAAAAAAAAAAAAAAAAAAAGTTACTTCTGTCTCAACCAGTCGGGCCTAATAAAAAATGCTGCTGAAAAGCCTAGGACTAATGTTTTTACTCTGCCTAATTAACCTTTATCAAAAATTTTTAACCGACAGAATCATGGCCATTTCGCAACTACCCAAAAACATCTACAAATGGTGTTGATCCTACAGTCAATCTAAGACCAAAAAACTCTCCACCCCCGCATCAGCAGGAAGTAGCTAGAAAGAACATGTCCCCTCTTGTCCTTTTATAACCATAGGGTCTGGAATGATAGAGCAGGAGTACTGTCATCTCAGACAAACACCGCCACTTTAAATTCCAGCTCCCTTTCTAGCCTCATGCATTTCAAGGAAATCACTTCTCTTCTAACTACAAGCAGCCAGAAAGAGCAGACAGTAAAACACGGATAAGACAGCTGGGACACAAAGGGAGGTGGGGGGAAAGTATCTTGGGTAACTGCCAAACTTCACCCTCATACGATGGGCCCCAGTAAAACAGTGGGCCTTAATAATAAGGAACAAGCACATTCCCTTTCCTTCAGGGGCACTAAGACAGGAAAGCTAAAAGCAGACTCTTGGCTGGGCGCGGTGGCTCATGCCTGTAATCCCAGCACTTTGGGAGGCCGAGGCGGGCGGATCACGAGGTAAGGAGATCAAGACCATCCTGGCTAACACGGTGAAACCCCGTCTCTACTAAAACTACAAAAAATTAGCCAGGCGTGGTGGCGCATGCCTGTAGTCCCATCTACTCAGGAGGCTGAGGCAGGAAAATCGCTTGAACCTGGGAAGCAGAGGTTGCAGTGAGCCGAGATGGCGCCACTGCACTCCGGCCTAGCGACAGAGCGAGACTCTGTCTCAATAAATAAGTAAAAACAGACTCAGGGACTATACCTGCAGCTGCAGGAAAAATGTATGAAAACAGGCACACAACTCTCCCTCCCAGATAAGCACAACAAAGAGACACAGAAGCAGTCCAAGCCTCTGATAAACTCTCCCATCCTGAATCCTTAAAAACTCAGTCTGTAAGAGAGTGTGCCTCTGACCTAACTTGGCCAGAAGGCTCCTTTCAGGTTGATTTTCTCTAAAATAAATGTCTTAACTGGCAAGCCAGCTTTTGTATTTCTTTCCTCTTTCTTTAATTCTTACAGTTCTCACAGTAAGGATTGGAGAAAAATCCCCTTCTGGTTTTGGCAGGAGGCAAGGAAAGCAGTCATTTTTTTCTCAACATATCTACCCTCATAGAAACTATTATACCAGAGCCTAAGTGAATGGACACCCAGGGCCTAACTAACCTAAGTGATGAGGAAAAACCCAAATCCAGCCCCTCTAGCCTTTCTCATCACCTAAAAGGGGTAGGACTGAGAAACACTTGTGAAGGTCACAGCCCAGGGGTGCAGGCTCACTGAAACACTAAGACCTAATTGTAGGACTGTAAAACACTTCCCCCCACCAAAACACCTTGCTACTACATCCACAGGGCTCCAGTATAGTAACAAGGGGATTACGGATAAGAGAACTGCAAGCCAGAGCCTATTTAAGGAGTTTCTACAAAAACCCAAAGACAACAGGGTAGACAAAAACAAGAAGATGAAGAGAGAAAATTATATCCTCTGATACCCACAGCTATAGCAAATAGTAAACACATTCTAACTCCTAGACAGGTAAATATCAAACCTCACACTAAAAGCCTATCTACCTCAGTACCTTTTACCCAATACATTATATCTGATTTTCTGCAAAACAATTACAAGATATATAAAAGACAAAAACACAGTTTGCAAAGATGAAACAAGCACCTAAACCACAATCAGATATGGAAGCAATGTTGGAATTTTCAGATGGAAAATTTAAAACAATGATAATTAAAATGCTAAGAGCTCTAATGGAAAAATGTGGAGAACATATAAGAACAAATTGGTCATGTAAGCAGAGAGATGGAAATTAAGAAAAAAATCAAAAAAAGTCTAGAAATAAAAACCCTGTGATAAATGCAAAGAATGTCTTTAATAGGTTTATCAATAGACTGGATACAGTTGAGGAAATAATCAATGAGATGGATGAAATATCAACAAACACTTCCCAAACTGAAATGCAAAGGGAAATATAGAATAAAAAAGACAAAACAGAATATCCAAGAATGGTGGGACAATTGCCATAGGTGTAAATCCTTGTAATAGGGATATCAGATGGAATAAAAAGAAAGAAAGGAATAGTAAAAATGTTTGAAGTGATAATGACTGATAATTTTCCAAAATTAAAGACAGATACCAAACCAAGATCCAAGCAGCTCAGAGGAAACCAAATAGGATAAAGATCACCCCCCACCCCCCAAAAAATCTATACTTAGGCATATCATATTCAAACTGCAAAAAATAAAAGACACAGAGATAATCTTCAGTGAAGCCAGGGAGAGGCAGGGCAGGACACCTTACCTATAGAGGGAGAGAGATGAGGATTACATCAAACGTCTCTTCATAAACCATGCAATCAGGAATAGAATAGAAAGAATTATTTAAAGAACTGAAAACATTCCATCAACTTAGAACTAACTAGATTCCATCTGTATGCAGTAAAATTGTCCTTCAAAAGTGGAGGAGAAAGACTTCTCAAACAAAAATTGAAGGAATTTGTCACCAGTAAACTGCCTTACAAGATATGTTAAAAGAAGTAATTCAGAAAAAAAGGAAAATTAAACAAGTCAGAAACTCAACATACAAAAGAGTATTAGAAATAAATGTGAAATAATTTTTTTTCTTATTCTTAATCTGAGAGATAACAATTTGTTCAAAATAATAATTGCAACAATGTATTCAGTGATTGTAGCTTATGGATAAGTGAAATGAATGATAGCAGTAATAATAAGGCATGGGAGGGAGGAATCAAGAATACTCTGCAATAAGGCCCTTACACTACCCATAAAGTTGTATAGTGTTATTCAAAAGCAGACTTAAATTAGATTTAAGTGTATATTGCAAACTGTAGGTCAACCACTAAAAAAGCAACAACAAAAAAGTAAAACTGATATGCTAAGAGAGAAAAGAAAATGGAATCATATAAAATGCTCAGTTAAGATCAGAAAAGGCAGAAAAAAGTGTGGAAGAAAAAAGAAACAAAGGGCAAATAGAAAACAGTAATAAATATGGTAAATATTAATCCAACTATATCAAAAAATCACTTCAAATATCAATGGTGTAAATATACCAATTAAAACATGTGACTATCTAGAGTGAATAAAGAATCGTGACCTAACTATATGTTGTCTACAACAAACCCATTTCAACATAAAAACCAGATAGGTTACAAATAAAGGGATGGAGAAAGATATACCGTGCTACCACTAATCAAAAGAAATATGGAGTAGTTCTATTAACTTCAGATAAAGCAGACTTCAGAGAAAGGAAAATTATTAGGAATAAAGAGAAGCACTACATAATGGTAAAGGAGTCAATTATCCCAGCAGACATAATACTCCTTAATATGTATGTGCCTAACAACAGTGCTAAAATGTGTAAAGCAAAAACTGACAGAATTTTAAGGAGAAATAGATGAATCCACTATTATTACAGTTGGAGACATCAACACCTCTCTGTCAGTCCCCACTAACGTTTTTTTTGGGGGGGCGGAGTTTCACTCTTGTTGCCCAGGCTGGAGTGCAGTGGCACGATCTCGGCTCACTGCAACCTCCGCCTCCCGGGTTCAAGCAATTCCCCTGCCTCAGCCGCCCGAGTAGCTAGGATTACAGGCATGCACCACCACGTCCGGCTAATTTTGTATTTTTAGTAGAGCCTCCATGTTGGTCAGGCTGGTCTCGCACTCCTGACCTCAGGTGATCTGCCCACCTCGGCCTCCCAAAGTGCTGGTATTACAGGCGTAAGCCACCGTGCCTGGCCAGTACCCACTAACTGATAGATCCAGCAGGCTGGAAATCAGTAAGGACATAGTTGAACAGCACCATCAATTAAGTGTATCTAATTGGCATTTAGAGAATACTTCACCCAACAACAACAGAATACACATTCTTCTCAAGTTCACATGGAATATTCATCAAGACAGACCACATTCTGTGCCATAAAACATACAACAACAAATATCAATGACTTCTATGATGGAGATTACTGAGATCACAACAGAATCACTAGAAATCAATAACAGAAAGATATCTGAAAAACATTAAAAAAATGGAAACTAAATGACACACTTCTAAACAACATGTAAACAAATCAAAGAATAACTCTCAAGAAAAAATTTAAAATATTTCAAACTAAATTAAAATGAAAATATAACATCAAAATTTATGGGATGCTGCTAAAGTAGTGTTTAGAGGGAAATTTAGAGCACTGAATGCATATATTATTAAAGAAGAAAGAGCTAAAAGCAAGTTTCCAAATTAGGAAACTAGAAAAAGAAGAGCAAATTAAATCCAAAATAAACAGAAGAAAGGAAATAATAAAAATTACAGCAGAACTTGTGAAATTGAAAACATGCTGTCAATAGAGAAAATCAACAAAACCTAAAGCTGGTTCCTTGAAAAGATGAATAAAACTGAGACACCTCTAGCCAGGTTAACTAAGAAGAAAAAGAGAGAAGACTCAAATTACTAATATCAAAAATGAAAGAAGGGCCATCAATACTGATCCTACGGTCATTAAAAGGATAATAAAATACTAGTATGAACAACTCTATATCAACAAATTTGGTAAGTTAAATGAAATGAAACAATCCCTTGAAAGTACAACGTTCCAAAACTCACACAAAGAGAAATAGATAATCTGAATAGGCCTATACTGATTAAAGAACTGGAGCCAGTAGCCTTCCAAAATAGAAAGCACTAGGGTTAATGAATATGACTAAACATTTAAGAAAGAAATTATGCCAATTCTCTATGATCTCTTTCAAAAAATAGAAGTAGAGGAAATTCTCTAATTTTCTTGGGTCAGAATTACCCTGGTACCAAAACCAGAAACATTACAAGAAAGGAAACTAACAGATCAATATTTCTCATAAACATAGATGTTAAAATCCTCAAAAAAATCAGCAATTGAATCCAACAATGTTTAAAAAGAATTATACATAACCACCACATGGGATTTATTCTAGGTTAAACATTTGAAAATCAATTAATGTAATCCATCGCATGAATAGGCTAAGGAAGAATTATATGATCACATCAATAGATCCAGAAAATGCATTTGACAAGAATCTAACATTCATTTATGATAAGAGCTTTCAGCAAGCTAGTAATAAATGGGAACTTAACTTGATAAAGAAGATCTATGAAAAACCTACAGCTAACATCATACTTAATGGAGAGAAACTAGAAGCTTTTCCCCTAAGATCAGAAATAAGGCAAGGATGTTCCCTTTCACCCTTCCTAGTCAACATTATACTGGAAGTGCTGGCTAATGTAATTAGAAAAGAAAAGAAAATGAAAAGTCTACAGATTGGGAAGGAAGAAATAAACTGTTCTTGTTCTCAAAAAACATAATTGGCTATGTGGAAAATGCCAACAAAGCAACAGAAAACTGGAAATAATAAGTTATTCTGCCAAAGTTGCTGGATGTAAAGTCATGGTTAATATACAAAAATTGATTACTTTCTTATATACTAGCAATAAACAATTGAAATTTGAGATTAAAAACACAAAACCATTTACATTAGCACCAAAAAGTGAATTATTTATACATAAACCTAAAATAGGTCAAAATCTATGTGAGAATAACCATAACTGATGAAAACATAAAAATATGTATAAATAAATGAAGAGATAGTACATGTTCATGGGTAGGGAAACTCTATACTGTCCAGATGTCAGTTCTTTCCGACTTTATCTATAGATTCAATGCAATCCCAATCAAAACCCCAGCAGTTATTTGTGGATATCAACAAACTGATTCTCAAGTTTATTTGGAGAGACAAAAGACCTGGGATAGTCAACACAATATTGAAGGAGAACGAAGTTAGAGGACCGATACTGCCTGTCCCCAAGACTTTACTATAAAGCTACAGTAATCAAGACAGTACGGTATTGGCAAAAGAATAGTCAGATAGATCAATTGAACAGAATAGAGAGCCCAGAAGTAAACTCACATCAATACAGTCAACTGAACTTTGACAAAGAGACAAAGGCAAGACAATGGAGAAAATCTGCATTGCACAAAAATCACACAAATATCTGTACACTGATGTTTACAGCATCTTTATTTGTAACTGCCAAAACTTGGATTTGACTTTTTAGATACAACAACAACAGCACAATTCATGGAGGAAAAAAAATGGTACATTAGACCTTATTAAAATTTAAAACTTCTGCTCTGCAAAAGACACTGTTAAGAGAATGAAAAGACAAGCCATGGTTGGGGAGAGAAGACATATCTGGTAAAGCACTGTTATCCAAAATATACAAAGAACTATTAAAACTCAACAGTAAAACAAACAACCCAATTTTAAAATGGGCCAAGTAAATTAACCGACATTCACAAAAGAAGATATACAGATGGCAGAGAAGCATTTAAAAAGATGCTCAACACTGTAAGTCATTACAGATTGCAAATTAAAATATAACAATGAGATACTACTATATGCGTATTAGAAGAGTTAAATTAAGAGCACTGACAACAAATGCTGATGAGGCTGTGGAGCAACAGGAACTCTTATTTATTACTGGTAGAAATGAAAAATTATGCCACCACTATGGAAAAAGGTTTGGTAGTTTTTTATAACACGAAACATACTTTTACCATGTGATCCATCAATCGCTCTTGATATTTACTCAAAGGAGAAGAAAACTAATGTCCACACAAAAACCTGCACACAAATGTTGATAGCAGCTTTATTCACTGCTAAAACTTGGAAGCAACCAAGATATCCTGTAGTATGTGAATGGAGAAATAAACTGTGGTACCTCCACATCCATACAACAGAATATTAGTCAATGATAAAAAGAAATGGGTTACCAAGTCACAGAAAGACATGGAGGATGCTTAAATGCATTTTGCTAAGCGAAAGAAGCCAGTCTGGAAAGGCTATATACCATATGATTCATACATACTATATGACATTCTGGAAAAGGCAAAACTACAAAGGCAGTAACCAGTGGTTGCCAGGGATAGGTAGGGGGGTTGGGGGGTGGATGGGTAGAGCACAGGAGAGTTTTAGGGCAGTGAAACTATTCTCTATGATACTGTAACACTGGATACTCATCATTATATGTTTGTCCAAAACCATAGAAGGTACAACACCAAGAGGGAATTCTAATGTAAATTATGGACTTTCATTAATAACATTGCATCGATATTGGCTCACCAAGTATAACAAAATTGGCCAGGCCTGGTGGCTCACACCTGTAATCCCAGCACTTTGGGAGGCCAAGGCGGGCTGATCACTTGAGGCCAGGAGTTCAAAAGCAGCCTGGCTAACATGGTAAAACCCTGTCTCTACTATTATAAAAATACAATAATTAGCTGGGCATGGTGGTGCACCTGTAATCCCAGCTACTCGAGAGGCTGAGGCCCAAGAATTGCTTGAACCTGGGAGGCAGAAACTGTAGTGAGCTGAGATTGTGCCACTGCACTCCAGCCTAGGCAACAGAGCAAGACTGTTTCAAAAAGAAAAAAGCTGTAACAAAAATATCCTATCAATGCATGATGTTAAAAATAGGGGAGGCCAGGCCTAGTGGTTCATGCCTGTAATCCCAGCACTTTGGGAGGCCAAGGCAGAGGATCACTTGAGCCCTTGAGTTCAAGGCCAGCTTGGGCAACAAAGTGAGACCCATCTCTACAAAAAAATTTTTAAATTAGCCAGGCGTGGTTGTGCATGCCTGTAGTCCCAGCTACTTGGGAGGCTGAGGCATGAGAATCACTTGAGCCCAGGAGTTCAAAGCTGCAGTAAGCTGTGTTTGTGCCACTGCACTCCAGCCTGGGCAACAAAGTGAGACCCTGTCTCAAAAAAAAAAAAAAAGAAAAAAAAAAAAAGAAAGGAAAAGAATAGAAAGAAAAATAGGAGAAAGCGCGCAGGAAGGGACAGACTGAGAATATGGGAACTCTGCACTCCGTCCTCAATTCTTCTGTAAACCTAAAACTGCTCTAAAAATGTCTACTAATTGAAATAAATAAATGAATCTAGCTCTATAGTTCACATCTTACTCTAAAATACAGTCCAATTGGGTTAAAAATAAATACTTGAAAATCAAATATAAGAAGAAAACATTAAATTATTAGAAAATATTGGTAAATATTGAGTTATACAAACCTGACACTGTCAAAACACCCAACAAGTAACAAACCACGATAATTGTGTAAGGCTTAAGTTTGTGTGTGTGTGTGTGTGTGTCTGTGTGTGCATGCGTGTGTTTATCTGCAGGGTAAAAGCCTAGAAGAATTTACACTGAAATGTTGAAAGTTACTGGGTAAAGGGTTTTGGGTTTCAGAGGTTTTTGACGACTGTAATTATTTTGTTTTCTTAACTGAATGTTCTTTTTTTATATTGTACATGATTACTTCTGAAAAAAAAAAATAAAAGAGTATGTCGTTCCCCCCCTGCAGGGAGGCAGAGTCCAGGTGGCCACCAAGGGGCTGTTGTCACAGTCCAGGGAAAGCCAGAATGGCAGGCACGGGAGCCTTGGGAGGGGCCTCAATCAGGCTTGCCCTTTGGCCCCAGAAAGAGCAGGGGCCTGCAGTGAAGCCCATAGAGCCCCTTGTGGGCCGTATGGGCCGCCTCCAGGCCTCCACCTCCTCCCCCAGTCATGGCCGCTCAGTGTCCTTTCACTTGGTGGTGTGGGGACACTGGGAGGCTTCCTGGGCCTCCCAACCCTCCTACCCAATTCCCAGCCCAGGCTTGGCTCTCCAGGACCCAGCTTCTAGTCCCTGTGAGGCTGGGCCACCCTGCAGGACTGCAGCTCTGGGCCCTCTGTTCTGGTGCTAGGGCCCTGGGGCCCATGAATGCAGTTCTAGCACTCGGGAGGCTGAGGCGGGAGAATCACTTGAACCCGGGAGGCGGAGGTTGCAGTGAGCCGAGATCGTGCCACTGCACTCCAGCCTGGGCGACAGAGCGAGACTCTGTCTCAAACAAACAAACAAACAAACAGCAGCCAACATTCTCCGAGGGTTTCCTAGGGCCAGGCGCGGGGCAGTCTCATGTAATTCTCAAGCAATCTTGGGAGGCAGGCACTACTGTTCATTGCCCCTCCCGATTTTAGAGACAAGAAACTAAGATTCAGAACACAAGAAACTTGCCCAAGGTCAAGGAGAAGTGGAGGCGTGGGGAGGAAACAAAGTCACCTGACACCAGAGCCCATGCCTCCAAACTCCAAGTCTGGGACTCCTGATTAAATTCCGTCTCTGTCTGCACTTTGGGAAGATTCTTTCCTCTCCTAGGCAAGTGCCCGCGGGGCCTGAGCTCTCGATAGCGGGGCCCCAGGAGCCACGTTGTGGGGTCTGCTATCCGGCCTCCCTCTGCACGCGCGACCGTCCACTTGAGCGCAGTGGCTGGAGCTGGGACTCCAGCGCAGCCCCTGAGCGCTCACGTCGACCCCTCCAATCACAAGAGGCCCTCGTGCCAGGCCCCCAGATTTGGCCAATCAGGGAAGACCTTTCCCTGTCACAGAATGGGGTCGAGGGGCCCAGGAAACAGGTAGTCCCCAGTCACAAATCATCGCGTCGCCTTCGCTGGTCCCTTTCTCTTATCGAGCCTCAGTTTTCTCTTCCATAAGCCGGGCCAGCAGTGCCCACCCCACAGGTTGGCGCCAGCTCCGTAAGGGCCCTACCACCGCGGCCGGCCAGATCCTCGGCGGGCCAGTCCTGGCGCTGCGGTCATTTAGCCTGATGACCCCTGGCCAGGTTCAGCCTCAATTGCTCCAAAGAACTCCGGACCCGTACCCCGAGCCCGGCGTCCCAGCGGCGAAGTTGATGGGCCCCGCAGGAGCCCTTGCGGTGAGAACCGAGTCCTGGAGCCCCTGGAGCCCCCGGAGCCCCCGGAGCTGCAGCCGGGGCAGCCTCCTTTCCGCCGGGAGTCCAGCGCTCTCGAGAGCCCAGAAACTCACCGCGCGCAGGAGTTGGTGCGGGCGTCCCGGGCAGGTTAGACTTCTGTGAGCCGCAGCCCCGAAACTGAGGTTGGTGCAGACCCGTCCTGGGAGCCAGGAGGTGGGACCTGTCCCCGCCAGTCCGCGAGCTCTGGTTAAGGCCAGAGCCCGTGAGGGGAGGGGCGCGGGGCGGGCGGAGAGTCAGCCGAGTGGGGGCGGCGCTCACCGGTGGTGGGACTATGGCGGGAGCGCAGCGCACCCTCTCCGGGCGGGTCTATAAATGCCATGTAAAAGCCAACCCCGCAGGGGCCTGCGCTCTTTCCCGCTTAGGTCAAGAAGACTTACTGTGGACCCTTGGAGAATTCCCAGGGCTTTGAAAAGTCCCAAGCACCCAGCAGGGCTGGCAGTTCTGAGCGCTGGCAAGGCTAAGTGGGTCAGAGGAGACCCTCGCCAAGCCGGTGACTCACTCACTCGCTCACCCTCTCTCACTCTTGATGGGCCAAGTACCTGCCATGTGCTACGGACACAGCAGAGCGAAAGGAGACGCTGCCCTCCGGGAATTTGCAGCCGCTTGCAGAGGCGGCCCCTTAGCAGCTGCGCATCCGGGTGGATAGCGGCGCTTCTGCCCGCCCAGTGCCTACCCGCCTCTCCGAGAGAAAAACAGCCCCTGGTTTTCTCTCTGCAATTCCCCTTCTCCACTCTCTCCCTTCTACTCAGTCCTGGTGCCGCAGACCCCTCCTCCTGGTTCCCAGAGATCCTGGCCAGCCCGGTCTCAGGCAAGGCCATGTAGAATGCCGGGAGTGATAATTGCGTATTGTTTCATGACTGCAAGCCTGTGTCCAGGTGGCTCCTTCTCCTGGAACACCCTTCCCACCACACCTGCGGCCGCACTGCTCCGTGCCCTGCTAAGCCTCACTTCTTTTGAGGCGACCCTCTCGCTAAGTCCCGACCACCTGGCCCTCTCTCTGCTCAGTGCCTGAACACATCAGGCTTGCTGCAGCCCCTGCCTTTACCTCTCTACTTGTAGTGTTCTTTCAGAGCCTGCTCCCATATGGTATCACATATCAGATATCTGATGCAGAGCCTTAGAGAGGCTGTTCCAGGTCACACAAACTAAGGAAGTCCCTCAGCCACTCCCTGCCACATCACCCTGTTCTATTTCCTTCACAGCACTTAACTGTATATCTGATATTTCCTTGTTTCTTTGTTTGTTCATTGTCTGTCTCTCCCACTAGACTGTAAGCTCTTTGAGGACAGGAAATTTGTGAGATGTATTCACTGTTGTATCCCCAATACACAGTGATGGCTTGTAGCAGTTGCTAAATAAATGTTTGTTGAATGGCTTAATGCATGTATTTTGCTCACATAAGCCAGTATGGGCACCCAGGATTGAGGTGGCCTGTGCCTGCTGATCCACTTAGCCTACTTTCAGGCACTGTCCCCTTGTTCTTTAGGCTCCAGCCTGCAGGTCTCCCTGCTGTCCCTCATATCTGTGGAACTTCTCGACTCATAAAGTTTCCATGTGCCGTTCATCTTTGTCCAGAGAACCCCCATCATTCTTCAGGAAGTTCCTACTAAAATGCCATGACTTCAGGGAAGCTTTCCCTAGCCTCAGCCTTACTAGGACAGATTCCTCCATTATGTGATCACAGAGAGGCCTGTAATTTTTCTTCATGAACCTCTCTCAACTTTATTTATTTATTTTTTTTTGAGGTAGAGTCTCACTCTGTCACCCAGGCTAGAGTCCAATGGTGCAATCTCAGCTCAATGGACCCTCCACCTCCTAGGTTCAAGCGATTCTCCTGCCTTAGCCTCCTGAGTAGCTGGGATTACAGGCATGCGCCACCACACCCAGCTAATTTTTGTATTTTTAGTAGACGTTTCACCGGGGTTTCACCATGTTGGCCAGGCTGGTCTCAAACTCCTGACGTCAGATGATCCACCTACCTCAGCCTCCCAAAGTGCTGAGATTACAGGCATGAGCCACTGCACCCTGCCTTCAACTGCAATTTTATCACTGCTTCTGGGATTGCTTGATTAACATGTCTCTGGACAATGATGGCGAAGACTAGCTTATTCTCCTGGGAAGTCCCCAGGGCTGAATGCATGCCCTGTGTGTGGAAGGTGTGCCATATAATCTGTAGGAAAACTGGCTGAGTGTTAGGGGCCTGCAATGGGAAAGTGGTGTGTTCTGAACTTGGGAGTTAAAATTGAGAAGGCAGATGGGCGACAGGAACCACTGAACAATGGCTTGGAGGTTAGACACCCCAAAAAGATGTATTAGGAAATCAGAGAGGAATCCATACTCTTAGAGGTATGGAGCAGGAGAGGAGGGAATTTTAAGCAGAAAGTGTTCCGAAATCATGTGGAAAGTAGAAAATGTACCAGATGAACTGGGGGATCTCATTAAGGAGATTGTTGAAGGTGCCTCCTCCTGGCTTCTTCTTGCTGCTTATACTAAAATGTGAGAGAAGGGACATAAGCCAAAGGAAGGATTGTTAAATAAAAAGGAACCATAACTTGGGCTGTGAAAATGTCCAGCTTCTCCAGATGTCATATGATGCTAAAACTAACAAATGGCTTCCAGGCAAAGAGCAAATGCAGGCCAGTGCAAGGAAGATGGCCTAAAGATGAAGCCAAGAGTGTGGTCATGAGATCTTTTGTAAAATCTTCAAAGAGAACAAAGGGACACCTCAGAATATTTTGTTAAATAGTAGGATTTCTAAGAAGCTTACAGTTGTCCTTGACAGCAGTCTCAGCAGAAGCCCAAGAGAGAGAAGGGCTTTTCTCAAAGAGATGTGTGGGTTTGACAGTTGTCTAAAGGCATGAACCTCAGTGAGATCTACAGGAGACATGCAACATTTTTAAAAGAATTATATGAGCAAAACAGTGTAGACTTGGACTGAAAGGGTCAGAGACAATATAAAATGAAAAGAGACCTCTAGACTCCCCCAAATTCTGGGAGGAAGCAAGCTGAGAAACTATACGGATATGAACCTGGGCTGCATTTCATGGAAAAGAAGGGATGACTTGGGGAATAGAACAAAGAACCCAAAGGGTGGAGCCAAGAGCGTGGAGAATCACTCTGGGGCCAGAGTCAGACTGAGTCCTATTCAAGAGACTTTCAGGACCCGCCCAGGAAGATTTTAGAATTGCCGTACACTAGTTACTCCTGCATGCCTCCTGTCCTTGTTCCCTTTGGAGCAGGCACGTCTACAGTGGTTATCCAATGCCTATCCCACCAGTTTATGTCAGGTGGGTGCAGGGGGGAGGCGCAGTTAATTTGTCTCTGGAATTCCTAAGTCTGTAGATTGAGAGCAACTCTACTCAAGGAGCTACACTTGAGGGAATAATACCCCAGGTGCTTCACCCACATCAAAGCCTGATTTAGATGCAGAGATTCTGGATATTGAGCTGATTCTACAGTGGGATGAGGCTTTGAGGGGATGTTTGGAGGGCGAATGTATTTTGCATGTGGAAGGATGTAAGTAGTTTGTGGCCAGTAGGTGGACTGTGGTCATTTTAAAACTCTCTGATGCTCTTCCATTCAAGGAGTGGCACTTAATTCCCCTGCCTTTGAATGTAGGCTGAACGTAGTGACTTCCTTTTAACACATGAAAGATGGTGGAAGTAACTGTGTGATTTCCGAATCCATCCTTTCATAGACCAGAGAGAGAAGCTGAGGCTTGAGGTCAGACAGTGGCAGAAGCCAGCTTGTCCCTGTCCCAGGACTATATGATACTCTCTGAACGAGTCCCACTGAAACCCTCTTTTGCCAGTTCAGTTCACTGTGCCGGGAATGCCCTGCTTCTTGAAGCCACCAGCTGAGCCCTGCCTGTGCCCCAGGGATGGGCTTGTGCATCATCTCCTTTGGGAAGCCTGACCCCAACCTTCTCCTTGGGAATTCCCTCACTCACAGCACAGACCACACTCTAATGCAACTATTTATATGTGTGTCTGTCTCTTTATCAACTGCAACACCTCTGAGGGCAGGGACAGGGCCTGTTTCATCTGTGTATCCCACAGCCCTGCACAGGCCCTGATCCAGGAGAGGCACCTGCAGTGACAGTGGCTGGATAAGCCCTGCAGAGAGAGCCTCTGCCCGGGCTTTCCGCAGGGCCCTGGTGGCTAAGTCCTCCCAGGGAAAGCAGTGTGCACTTACACAGCCCAAGTCTGGGTAGAACAATGGGGGCTACTGCTCCAATCCAGAGGCAGATTAGGAGACAAGCCTGGCTCAGGGCTCTGTGAATGGGGGATGGGATAGACATGGGTTCTCTTTCTGTTGTATAATGATGATTCAGCTTGTTTTTGGGGAATCAGTAACTGGGACTGTGTGTACGCTGCAAAGGAAACATTAACTTGAAGGTCATAGCCTGTGGGAAATCAAAGCGGGGAGGCCAAGTGACCTGGGCTTGTTTTTGTTTTGTTTTGTTTTGTTTTAATTTTGGAGCCAGTGTTTCTCTTTATCTCCTAGGATGCCTCGTTCAGATGCTTCTACCCTGCCTCGTGAGTTACTCATGATGTCACCTGATCCCCACCCCTTAGAACCTCTCCCCAGTGGGAACCAAGAATTCAAAATGGTTTTCTCCATATTTCCCCCTTTAAAGGGCCTGCATGCAATTTTTCATGTAGAGGCGAAGGTAGGGATGAGACTTAACAGAGCTCTGTGCCACACACCAGAGCCCACCTGATGACCTGCAGACATAGATGGAATGCTTCTGGGCCACAGAGCTTACAGCCCTGCTCCTGCCAGGTCCTCTCCAGCCCCATGCCAAATCTAACCTGGGGGTGTTGCGTGTTTGCACCCCCATGCAAACTGGCTGGTGCCAGCACCTGGCTGGCACATGGCCCCCAGAAACTCACTGTAAAGGAATAAATGAGCAAAGAGGAGGCAGGGACGGTGTCTCTACTCCAGGTGCTCGCACCTCTATGGGGGAGATGAATGCACAGGTGGCAGATATGAAAGGTGGGAGGGGATGTGAACCATCACAGAGGTGAGACATGAAGAAAGCGGGTCTGGGTACTTCAGGCTTCACCTGGGAGATAAGGCCCAGTAAGACTGTGATGACTTTAACCAGCAAAAAATAAGAAACGTTCCAGTTGGAGAGAATGTAAGAATGATGCATTGGTGCATGGAGGTGGGGATGTGGGTTGTTTTTGAGGAATCAGGAGAAAGCATTGCAGCTGCAGGAGAGAAGCTGGCAAAGTCAGGGGTCACGAGGCCACAACATGGGGTGCAGACTGTGGGTTTCACTCTGTTGTCCAGTGGTAACAAGATGTTCTGATTTCATAGGCCAGGGCAATTTCAACAGCATTCCAGTAACTGATATTAGATTCTCATTTTCTTATTTTGCAAAGTAAAAACATCTTTAAAAAGTCAATATTCTGGAGTATTATTCAGACTTAAAAAGGAAGAAAATTCTGACACACATTACAACATGGAGGAATCTTGAGTAGTTTATTCTAACTGAGTTAACCCAGCCACAATAGGACAAATGGTTCTGTTTCTATGAGGTCCCTAAAGTACTCATGTTCATAGAGACAGAAAGTGGAATGGGGGGTGCCAGGGGCCATGGGGAGGGGAGAATGGGGAGTTCATGTTTAATGGGGACAGAGTTTCAGTTGAAAAAGTTCTGGAGATGGATGGCAGTGATGGTTGCACGACAGTGTGAATGCTCTTAAAAACATAGCACTGTGCACTAAAGAATAGTTAAAATGGTAAATTTTGGGTTATGTTTATTTTACCACAATTAAAAATAATAACTTTAAAAAATCAGTTTCCATCAGCCATCACCATAATTGCATTGGAAAAGCTCATGTAGCATCAGAAAGCTGAAAGGAGCAACTGGGCCTTCTTGGAAGCTCTGTCCCTGATGGCCCTGGGCCTGGGCTGGCCACTAAGTGTGAGGAAATCACCCACCCAGGATTCAGCGCAGGCATGTGCAAGACAAGTGAGCAGAACGTGGCACTGGTTGGGGAGCACAGGATGGTGCCATGGCCCAGGGCCAGGGACAGCAGGGCCCTGACCCTGACCCTGAACCTGACCCTGACCCTGACCCTGACCCTGAGCCTGAGGGCTTGGGGTGTGGAGAACTTCATGGAACCCAGAGGAGTGCAGCGTGTAGGGACTGCTTGGGAGATGCGGCAACTGTGATCATAACAGGGAGCAGGGAAGACCCAGCTCCCTCCCTCACCTCATGTCCTTCCAGGACCCTCCAATGGCTAAGTCTCTGCAAGTCAGAGGTAGAGAGGCCTGGGGCTGCAGCCCTCCCAGGTCAGACTCCAAGCACCAGGCCCCGTGAAGGGTGGGGAGTGGACCAGAGGGATCCGCAGATGAGTGGCACTGTCCAGTCAGTGGAGAGCCCACCTCATGTTGCTCAGTGGAGGGAGCTCCATGTGAAGTAGCTGCAAAAGTGCTGGAAATGCTGCAGGGCAAAAAGAAGTGGTGAGGCAGCTGGAGATCAGCAGTAGCACCAGCCGCCACCACCTGAAACTGCACGGACGCTGGGAGGGCAAAGTCACTGTGGAGCTCTGAAGTTGGAACCATCCAGGAACAGGCACCCAGGGCTGCTCAGGGGGAGCGGGGATCGAGGAGAGGCTGCTGCCATTCCTGGAGCACACACTGCGAAGTGTTTGGCTGGGAAGGGGAAGGTAACAAGAGAAGGTCATGGTGGGAACGGGGAAAGGCTGTAATGAGAGAGACTTAAGAGTGTAAAAAGCTATTGAGAAAGACTCAGCTGAGAAGGAAAAGTTGAATGTACAAGAAAGAAAGGGGAGAATCAGTAGTGTCTGTGGTTCCTAAAAACGGGGGGAAGGGAAGATGTCCAAAAGCAGATTCCGAGGTGGCTTGAACAGCATCATAACCAGAAGGAAGGAAGGGAGGGTGGGAGGATGGATGGGTGGGTAGCTAGATGGACGGTGGGGTTTCTTTACCCATGGTTCATGTTGGTACAAGATCCCCCCTTGTGGCTTTCCTTCTCTCTCTAAAGAGTGGAGTAAGGTCATCTCCCGAGGTGGGATGCAGGAGAGGGAAGCTCGAGCAGTCCTTGTGGGATTGGGGAATGGGAGAGCGGTGGAAGGACCCTGGGCCGTATTGAAGGCACACCTCAGTTTACAGTGGGGCGAAACTGCGCGTTTGAGACCCCAGAAGCATCAGACTACTCAAGAAGCAGGCACGGAGGAAAAGGAAACCCATCTCTGAGTTTACCCAAGACTGACCCAGATGGTTTCAGTGAAAATCAAAGGGCAGTCTTGGACTGCAGATTCTGAGCTGGACGAGGAAAATGCTGGTGAATTGAGGGAAACTATCAAGGGCCCTTTAAGACCAATGAGAGGGTCGTGCTGGAGCAGTTGAACCGGAGACTAAAAGAGCAGACCCAGAACAGAAGGTGGAGGTGAGGAGTCTGAACGAGAGGTTCGGGTGACAACGGCTCTGTCAAAAAGAAAAAAACCTTAAGCAAGTTTAAACTTGTCAGAGTTTATTTGAGAAGAAAAAAAAAGATTTGTGAGTTGGGCAGCCCTCAGAACCAGAACAGGTTCAAAGAGCTCCTGGCTGCTACACGGTCAGGCTGCATTTATGGACAGAAAGTGGAAGTGAGGCAAAAAGAACAACTTAATTGGTTGCAGCTCAGCATTGTATCTCACTTGAAGCAGCCGGCTGCCTGTTACTAACTGAAAGTCAGATATTTGTGACATGAGTATACATTTGATCCTTGGACAACGCAGGTTGGACCTGTGCGGGTCCATGTTTGCAGGATTTTTAAAATAAATACAGTTGGCCCTCCATATTGGCAGTTTCTGCATCTACAACCAAATACAAATCAAAAATACAGCATTTGTGGAATGTGAAACCTGTGTATGCAAAGGGCCAACTTTTCGTATTCATGGGTTTCACAGAGGCAATTGTGGGACTTCAGTATGCACGGGTTTTGGTATCCGCAGGTGGTCCTGGAACCAATGCCTTGCAGATACCGAGAGACCACTGTGCTCCTAAGTTAGTTACATTTAGCAGGAATTACTCCATATTGGCTTGGTCTGTTGGGCCCAGTAAAGGAGCTTTCTCCAAATCAGTAGCCTCCTGCAAATTTAATTTAACAACCCCTTCCTTTTGGTCAGGATCTCACCTAAGTAAGAATGTGAATAAAACTTAGGGCATCAGCGCTCCTCCCACTTACCGTCATTTTAGATATTCAGTCTCAACGTGTCATTTATTCATAGTCCTCATGATCATACTTTTGAGGATTTTTGTCATTCCAATAAATAGATACCATTTAATGTTTAACAGATAGCTGCATGCAAACATTTAAAAATTTTTGAAAGAATACAATGCACCAGGAAGACTACTATTATGACTATTGGGAGCATGATACCAAGAGTTTAAAGTATGCCCCTTACCCAGGGTCCCCATGAAACAAATCAACTACAGTCGAATAGATCAAACAATACACCAAATGAAGAGTGCACCCATTTTAACCAAATAGCCTGTTTGTTGTTTTTTTGTGACTGAGTCTGTACAGTACCCGACGTATTTATTCATATGCAACAAAAAGCATCAGCACCGACTCCTCCTTGCTCAGCTGATAAGCCATCTCGCATCCCATGACTGGGCCAAATCAAAGCAGGAGTTTTGTGGGCCAGAAGTCCAGCTCTATAAAAGGGACCACAAATACAATTTAAATAGGCAATTGCATTAGGTATGTTCCTAAAGTTAATCACTAAGTGAACTAATGGATCCCTTAGATCATGTAAAGTTCTGGATTAGCAGAAAAAAAATTCAACATTTTGTATTTATGGTGAATTTCTAACTACAGAAGTATCCTTCCAAGTAAAAAAGTAGGCATAAACGAGGAAAACTCAACAGGGAAAGCGTCTCATTAAGAGAAGAGTTTAGTTCCCACGTATTGGGAAAACTGTTCATATCTAACATGTCATCTGCTTCCAGGAAAATTTCCCCATGGCCAGCTTTACCTTAAAGTCTACAACAGGTGTGCACTTCCAGGAAACTTGAGAGGCCGTTTGAGCTGTGAGTTGTGAACCCAGCCAAGGTTCAAGGCCCCAAAGCTTGGCTGCAGTGTGGGTAGTGAGAAGAACTTGCTGTGGTGCCTACCCACAGGGTTCCAGGGCAATCTTTCTTTGATGTCTTTTCCAGAAGACCTTGTCTTCAGGTTCTAAACTGTGAGGGACTTGATTGTTCTCAGCTCATGGATCATGGAAAGTTTCTTTTATCTGGTGAGAATATACTTTGGCATAATACATGAAAGCCTTACATTATTTAGTTATATCAGAATTGAGGAGAGTGGGAGATACATGAGTTCTATTTTTAAGGGCACAGGCCTCCAATAACTACTACATAAAGGTTCAGTCTATGTTTTCCACTGGGAGTGAATCTGATTCCCCGCAAAGCCAATGGTAGTGCCTTTGGCCAAGGCAATCCAATTGATTCAGTTGTCAATTTCAGTTTCTTAAAATGCCATTTGTTCTTTCAACTTTTCTAGAAGATTGAGGGTGATGGGGACAATGATAGTGTCATTGTGTTTGCAATACCTTGTTTAACTGCTTTAGAGTTTGTCCAGTAACATAGATTCCTCTGTTGCAGGAGATTCTTCTCCAGGGGCGCCCCAGAAAGGAAACACATTTCTAATAACATATTAGCAACTATCCTAGCATCAGCTTTCTTACATGGGAAAGCTTCTATCTGACCAGAGAACATGCAAACTATTACAATAACATGCTGATATCCCATCAAGGGTGGAAGTTGAATGAAGTTCATCTGCAAATATTCAAATGGTTCATCATGTGGTAGAAATAAATACACCACCTGAAGCTTTCATTGTCTTCCCAGGATTATGGGTTTGACAAATCAAACATTGGCTATCAACTCTTTTAGCAATTTTAGAACAATCACCCCACCAATATTTTTCGTAATTTGGATCACCGTAATGAGCTATGGAGTGCAGAGCCCTTAACAACGGAAGCTTCAAGGACTCAGAGAGGACCAAGTGGCTATCCAGGGCCTCCATGGGTCCACACTTCACGCTGAATTTACGTGTTTTCAGATACCAATTTTGTTTTTCCAAATTGGTGCACTGCACTGTTTATTAAGTAAGTCATCATAGAGGAGCTGACTTTGATCAATCTTATGGAGTTTATTGAAATTACACATCCTAACAATTTTAGTACTGGCTGACTTAGCATGAACATCTGCCAGGGCATTCCCTTGATACTCAGGTGCAGTTTTATAAGTAGGTGTTTTGATTTTAATAATGGCAGTTTGTGATGGTAACAGGATGGCAGAAAGGAGTTCATTTATTTGGAGTTCATTTTTGATGGGGATCCCACTGGAAGTGAGAAGCCCCCTTTGTTTCCATAACATGCTGAAATTATGAAGTACTTCTAAAGTATATCTGCTATCTAAAAATATCTACTGATTTATCTTAACTATGTGACAATCTCAGGTAAAAGCAAAAAGCTCTGCAGGTTAGGCTGATTTAAATTGGGGAAGAGTTTCCTTTCCTATTAATTCATTTTGAGTGGTAACAGCATACCCCACCTGACATTTTCCTTCTGAGTTTTCAGCCCAAGACTCATCAACAAACAAATGTCGCCTTGGGATTAGCTAATGGAGTGCTTCATAAAGCAGCATGCTAGACCACTGATTGAGATACCACACTCACACTGTAATCAGCCAGAGGTAGCAGAGTGCAACAGCTTAGATGGAGATTGGGAGGCAAAAGGATTTCATTAGATGACAATCTACTTGCTGAAAAATGCTGAATTTGACTGGAATTTAATAAATTTTCCACAACATGTGGGGCTTGCGTAAAAGTTCATTCCCTAAGACTAACTCAGGTTAAAACTCTACTGATATGGCAGCTGTGGCTACTGCTTTTAGTGGTGAGGATGTGCCTCAGCTGCGGGGGCTGACTGCCAGCTGTAATGTGCAATGGGCCTATTGTTTTCCCTCATGCCTGATTGCCATGTTCATGAATGAACAAGGTGAAAAGTTTAGTGCAATTTGGAAGTCCTAAGGTTGGGGCTGCGGTAAGGCCGGTTTCTGCCAGTGAGAAGCCTACTCCTGACTGCCCTCCCATGGTGCAGGTTCTGGTGCTGCATTCTTAGTGAGCTCATACAATGGTGAGATGGTTAAGGAAAAGCTTGGAACCCAGGATCTGCAGTATCCTGCAAGTCTCAGAAAACCTCTTCACTGTCTTTTAGCTGTAGGCCAGGGAAAACCTTGAGTGGTTTTTATTCTTTTGGAAACCCTTTCCACAGTCAGGTCATGCCTTAGAGTGAAACTTTCTCCTTGAAAACTGAAGGCTTTCCATCAAAACTTTGTGACCTTTATGTGCAAGTTGCTGTAAGAGGTGAAGTAAGTCCATTTTAGACCACACTTTAGTGGGAGAGCAAAGCAAGAGATAATCTACATGCCAAATGAGGGGAGAATTTCAAGGAAATTGCAAGGTTGTCAAGTCCTGGTGTAATGCCTGGGAAAAATAAGGAGGCGCTTCAGGAAACCTCTGTGGCATTACAGTCCAGGTATACTTTGATTTTTCTAAGTAAAAAGCGAACAAATACTGACTCTCTTTCTCAGCTAGAATGCTAAAGAAAGCTGGACAGGGGCTTATGACTGTGAGCCATTCTGAATCAATGGGCACACTGGACAATCAAGTGTTAGAGTTTGGAACCACAGGAAACCTTGGTATCACGATTTTATTAAGTGCTCGTAAATCGTGAACAAATCTCCCTCCTTGTGCATCCTTGTCCCTTGATTTTTTTTAACTGGTAAGACTGGAATATTACAAGGACTGATACATAGAATAAGTCCTTGTTTAATTAAATCTTCTGCAATTGATGAGAGTCCTTGAATTGCCCAGGCCTCAGTAAATATTAGGATAATTTACATAAAGGTTTAGAATGATCGGTTTAGACTTTTATAGGTACCATACTTTTAACCCTTCCTATATCAGTAAAGGAAGAAGCCTATAAACATTTGGGTATTTTAGAGAGATCAAAGATATTGCAGGCCTGAGTTTTGATCTTGTCAGTTTCTGCCTGTGGAGAGCACAACAGATCTCGTTCAGGAGGTCAGGAAATTCTAACATTAACTCCTGCTCTGCAGGAAACTTCATATGCCTCTTTAGCTTAGCAGATAAGTCTTGCCCTAGTGAGTTACTAGAAGAGTGTCACATAGGAAGAAGGTTCACTTTTCTGAAAATGGCCCCAGCATCAACTGGACAGTTTCCGACATGGGTACTATTGTGTCTGATTCAAAACCCCCACCACAGAAATGACCTTTCCACTTTCAGGGATTTGTCAGCTTGTTAAAAGAAAAACTTCAGCTGAATTAAATTTAAAGGAGTTTAATTGAGTGATGAATGATTCGTGAATCGGGCAGCCCCCAGAATCACAGCAGATTTGGAGAGACTGCAGAGATGCCTCAGGGTCAGAACAAATTTATAGACAAAAAAGGGAAGTGACATACAGGAATCGGAGGTGAGGTACAGAACAGCTGAACTGGCTACAGGTTGGAGTTTGCCTTATTTGAACACAATTTGAATGCTCAGCAGTGTGTGAGTGGTTGAAGTATGGCTGCTGGGATTGGCCAGGACTCAGCGACTGTTACAAGTGCATACTCCTAAGTTAGGTTTTCAATCTTGTCTACCTACTAAGTTAGGTTACAGTTCATCCACAAGACTTGAATATAGAAGTATGGAGCCCTTCTCAGGCCATATTTAGTTTGCTTTAATAATTCCCCCTTTTGGTCATTTTCTCAGTTTTGAGAGATTGACCAAAACTTTAGTCATTGATGTCACTATCTATAAGAGAAAAACAGACCTAGTCTGTTCTAGTCTAGGATCTGTGTCCTTCCTTAAAGTCTTAGCTCAATTATGTCACATTTAGTATAAGCAACTCCATTTTTGTTTGGTTTGGTCTGTTGGAGTCTAGTGCATGAGCTCAGTCCAAAACAATTGGCCTCCTATAATTTTGTTTTTTTAAAAAAATCCCCCTTTTTGCTGGGTTCTCACTTAAGTGAGAGTGTAACCAAAACTTAGGGCCGTAGCACCACTTTCAGTTACCATCATTTTGGGTTTCTGGTCTCAGCATGTCATTCAAAGCTTACAGTGTCCTCATGGTCCCATGTTTCTTTCGGCTGGGCTCAGGAAGGACAAGGCAGCCATCCTGGTTCTCCATGAGTCCATGCTTAATTAACATCAGAGTTATATTCTCTTGAATACCAGTTGTTTTTCCAAATTAGGTGCATAGCACTGATAACTGATGGGTCATAATAGGCAATTTGAAGTAGACCATGCATTTCATTCAAATTGTATAACTAAAAAATTTCAGTATTGGCTGATTTACTGTGAAAATCTGACAAAGT
The DNA here is from genome assembly GCF_000001405.40 of Homo sapiens. Classification (NCBI taxonomy): domain Eukaryota; kingdom Metazoa; phylum Chordata; class Mammalia; order Primates; family Hominidae; genus Homo; species Homo sapiens. The sequence continues at coordinate 126,193,833 of NC_000003.12, forward strand.
ATTTTCTTGATATTTAATTAATTTTTGTTCTACTTAGGTTAGCAATTTTATAACCTAGTCAGTCTTTTCATTAAAGTTCCAGGAATTCTTACCCAATTCAAATGATTCTAAAGTTATTAGAAACCTGCACTCCAGAGTGCTTTTTAGGGTCCATTTCATCCTTTCATGAGTCTCCTAAAAGACACCATATTCTAGGATTTTACGTGCTTGTGAAGTTTTCAAAAACTGCATCAGCACTAAGCAATTAACTGTGGAAATGACTTTAAATACTAATAGTCAAAGGCACAATATAAATAGTAATTTGGTTATTTCTGTGGTCTACAGTAACTTAACATAATAACCATAATTATGATTGATAGCATATACTCAGACATATTAGAATTTTAGAAATCCCATACAATTTTAGAATATACATTAGTATCATTCACTAAATGTAATCTGAAGAAGGTTAAACATTATTTCTTTGACAAGGCTTCCTATGTAATAACATATCAAATAATCCTGTTTACCTCTCTTTTGGATGCTTCAGCGGCTCTCTGTAGCATCCCAAAGTTAAGGTCAGAAAAGACTATTTTGAAGCTGAAATTTGATTTTGGAAAGCCTATCAAATATGTTAAAGGTTTAAAACACTTGGTATTATGCTTAATCAGTTTAACCATGAGGTGAGATTCTTATAAACCTTTTATCACCCTCTACAATTTTTGTAAAAGAGCAGATCAGTGCTTCAAGAAAACCATTTGTGCTTTTATTTCAATGTTCGATTTATGGAAAAACTGAATAATACCCCTTTAAATTTAGTCAATATGTTCAAACACAGAATATTTTTACCAGATTAATTTTTAGAAAACTTCCGCAACTTGTTCAGACCCTTAGCTTTTTCTTATCTAATTTGAAACAATCCTTTAGCCCTCTAAACTAGGCAAAAATTTACATTTCCATCCCTTCTTATAATCTTTTACCAAAAACACATTTCACTCTCCTCACATACCTTGCATGTAAAACTATTTTTTAGTAGTTTTAATTATATGTTACAATGGTAACTTTTAGCAACTTTTACTTTTGGTGCATAAATTTCTTTTCATGAATCCTTTCACAATGTACACAGACCATCTACAACATGCTTGGACTTTCTGACTTGTCCTAAACATCCCTCTTTTTAAACAACTAGTTATTTTATTTTAGGACAAAAATTTACCATGCGAGATCCTTTCCTATATAAAATCTCTTTTCTGTATAACCTTCTTTGCATAGCCAAGATGCATGGCTAATTCCACATGTCCCCAGGCCTTATCTAGAATCTAATGTCTCCAAAGTAGGTAAGTTGAACAATTTCAAAAGTCAAAGCAGTTTATAACCTTAAAGCATTTAGCAAATCTAATATCTGACCTGTCTATATTAGACCAAATATCTTTATTTTACCAATAATCTTTAAAGCTGTTTTTATTTCCCAAAGATTACTAAAGTTATATAAACTAAGACATTACAGTTTTTACTTTCCTGACAAAATATTTGATTTAAGCACATATTTTTCTTTAGGCCAATTAATTAGAGCTCTCTTATATAAACATTACACACTCAACACATATATAACTACACAGGCAGAACAAAAGAAGACCCAGTAGTTTCTCAACAGGAGCTGGAGAGGATGTGGAGAAATACGAACACTTTTACACTGTTGGTGGGACTGTAAACTAGTTCAACCATTGTGGAAGACAGTGTGGCAATTCCTCAAGGATCTAGAACTAGAAATACCATTTGACCCAGCCATCCCATTACTGGGTATATACCCAAAGGATTATAAATCATGCTGCTATAAAGGCACATGCACACATATATTTATTGTGGCACTATTCACAATAGCAAAGACTTGGAACCAACCTAAATGTCCATCAATGATAGACTGAATTAAGAAAATGAGGCACATATACACCATGGAATACTATGCAGCCATAAAAAAGGATGAGTTCATGTCCTTTGTAGGGACATGGATGAAGCTGGAAACCATCATTCTCAGCAAACTATCGCAAGGACAAAAAACCAAACACCGCACGTTCTCACTCATAGGTGGGAACCGAACAATGAGAACACTTGGACACAGGAAGGGGAACATCACACACCGGGGCCTGTCATGGGGTGGGGGAAGAGGGGAGGGAAAGCATTAGGAGATATACCTAATGTAAATGACGAGTTAATGGGTGCAGCACACCAACATGGCACATGTATACATATGTAACAAACCTGCACATTGTGCACATGTACCCTAGAACTTAAAGTATAATAAAAAATAAAAAAAAGAAGACCCAGTAGTTTCTATGTCTCTTAATTGGATTACTGGGTTTAGGGTAGAGTCCTTGGAAGGACAGGGCCAGGAAAGCATGCAGTTTCTAGGGCCTAATATAATAAGCAGTCACAGCTGGAAGGCAAAACCGACCTTCAAAAATTAAGGGTCTCATTTTTATACCATTTGGTCTGGTCTAAAGAACAGAGCCTTAGATTTTGAGAGGGATCTATCCATTTCCAATGCCTGGGATTCCATGAAGAAAACAGCTTTTTTTTTTTTTTTTTTCCAAAATGGGGTCTCTGGCACCTCTTATTTTTCCCAAAGAGCCCAAGGCTGTTAGAGCTTGAATATCTGCTTTTAATTAAGCTGAATTTTAACCATAGTGCTCTTTCTAAAAACTCCTTTTAAATTTCTTATTACCTGACTTTAGCCAGGCCAAATGGCCAATATTTCTGGCTTCTGAACTTTACCAATGGTAACCTTACAGATGAAACCAACAAAGCTCAACTAAGGATATGACTTAACCACAAGTGTACTAGGTATTTTCAAAGAGGTGGTAAGCAGTTTTTACAAAACCTGGAATTTTTAAAGGTAGCTCAGAGAAAGGAAGATTTAAGAAGGGAAGCTAGAGGTTGTTCATGGATGGGAAGAAAATCAGGAAGTGGTAAAAGTCACACAGGTGTTAACCAGAAAGTACTCATTCTCTAAGCTTGGAATCAAACCCAGGCCACCAATGTGAAAGGACAAAACCTTAGCTACTGAGCTACAATACTGGGCAGTCTCCATCGCCCTTCCCAGAAGGAGTCTAGAGTAGTTAATTTTGAGCTTGCAAAGCCTTTCAACTACTCAAGATAATTTTTAGAGTTTGCTGTGACATGAACCCTAAAATTCCTATCCCCTGGAAGGCAGAGACCAAGAGAAAGTACCACCACGAAGTTACAAGTTCAAGCTACCAATGACATAAAACAAGATGGAGACCTAATCCAGTTTTTGTTTGTTTGTTTGTTTCAGGGACCTGCTGCAACACAAAAGAAAAAAAATTAATGCACTCTAGTGTATTTGTTGTTTATTTGGAATGTACCACTGTAAGTTATCTTTAGTAACGTTTCGCTGTTTCTGTAAGACTTTGCTGCCTCCCGGGCCTAATGTATAAGCCAGAAGGAACTTGGTTTTCCAGAAATTAAGGATCCCATTTTTACCTAAAACATTGGCTTTACTATCAGGTTTCCTAGATTAACTTAGCCAATGAATTTTTTTTCCCACCTAAACGCACAAGAAAAATGAAACAAAAGAGTAGAATACAAAAATCCCTGAAAATTTTTAAAAGCCAAATTTTACACCCCCTGCAATATTACCATTTATGACCAGTTCCTTTCTGACCCAGTCAGATGTAAGAGTCCTCTAACTGGATCCAAGCCAGTTAATTCCCAGATCAAATCCATTCCTGGACCCAGTCCAGTTTCTGTCATGACTTCCAAACCCAGCTTGGATCAGAAATTTGCTCAAAGAAACTGAGAGCTCAAAACACAAATCCATGGAGCTCCGAAATCCGAGAGAGAATTTACCCACGATCCCCAGCCATTCTGAGAGATCAATGGACACAAATAGGTCCTGCAGTTACCTTGCTTGTTCACTCAGTACTCCTGGGGGTCGCTAGAAGCTGTACTTTGGATCCCGCTTCTGACACCATGTTAAAAGAAAAACTTCAGCCAAATTAAATTTAAAAAAGTTTAATTGAGCAATGAACGATTCACAAATTGGGCAGCCCTCAGAATCACAGCAGATTCAGAGAGACTCCAGGGTTGCCTCGTGGACAGAACAAATTTATAGACAAAAAAAAAAAGGAAGTGACTTGCAGAAATCAGAAGTGAGGTACAGAACAGCTGGATTGGTTACAGCTCGGCGTTTGCCTTATTTGAACACAGTTTGAACACTGAGTGGTGTATGGGTGGTTGAAGTATGGCTGCTGGGATTGGCCAGGACTCAGCGATTGTTACAGGTGCATACTCCTAAGTTAGATTTTCAATCTTGTCCACCTATTAAGTTAGGTTGCAGTTCATCCACAAGGACTCAAACATAGAAGTACAGAGTCCTTCTCAAGCCATATTTAGTTTGCTTTAACAGCTTATTAAAGTGGGGTTTGTGAAAGATAAAGTAGCCCCAATATTCACCAGCATGGTACACGTTCCCTGCTTGTCTTAGCCTCTGTTTCTCATTATTTATCAAAAGGCATCACAGGCAACAGCTAGCTGGAGGGTCCCTCCTGCAGCCAGGCTGATTGTGATCTCATGGACTCCCTCTAGTGGGCAGACCATCCCCGCTGAAAGGAGGAGGCTCCTTGGTAGACTTGGATGACTAGGCAGCCTCTCTCCCAGGGACCTGGCTGTTTGCAATGTAGGCAGACATCTTGGGGTGAAGGGTTTCTTACTCTAGGTTCTTTAGGCTGTGGTTTAAAACAAGGAGAAGATGGTCCCTTTGGCTTTGGCCCCTGTAATTGTTGCAATTGAAAAGACATAAGCTTATTAGCTTTTTGTGCTTTTTCTTATTCTGGAGTCCTTTGAAAATGCTCAGCTAAAGCCACGAATTCAACCATGTCTGTCATTCCCCATCCAAGTTCATGCTTCTTAATGCAACTGCTAAATTCGGGACAACGTTTGTTTATAAATAGAGCAGTTAATGCCATTTTAGTCCCTACAGGAAATTCTCCTTGCTGTCTTTTGAGTGCAGAATGTTTCACAAATAGTGTTTCTAAACCAGCTCTGCAATATGAAATGGGTCCGTCCTTTTTTCACCTGCAAGACTGTCTGACAGATGGATCCTTTTTTTGTGGAGAAGACTTAGGAACTGAATTTAAAAGGTTTTCAGTGTTCTTCCAGCTTGTTGTAGCAAGAAGGTTTTTTAAGGTCTTTAATATCCCCTCGGGTTCTCTCTATTCTGCTGCTTTCATACACCTTTGAGCTTTACCAAGTCCCAAAATCAAGTGAATAAATTGATAAAGTCAGAAGTTCCTGGATCATAAGCTCCTATGGGGATTCTAAATTCCTAGGTAAACATTTGAGGATTTTCTCTTGCATCAGGAAAGTATCTTATGAAGGCTCTAAGTTCAGCTTCAGAGCATGGAGTAAAAGTGGTTACAGCAGGCAGGCCTAGGTGTTCAGAGGGTCTCACTTTGTAAGACAGTTGTCCAACCTCTCCTTTTCATTTTCCTCAAGATGGAAAGGTACTTGAGCAAAACAATCAGTGGACTCAGGGTATTGAAGTAATGGCAAAGACAGCAAGGAGCAGTCAGAGTTAATTCAATTCAATGAGCGGCAGTCCTCCTTCCTCTGGTCCTCAGTTTGCTGATTAAGCTTTTTATTTGTCTCCTGGGAAGAAACCTTTAAGTCAGACACTCTTTGTTTAATCTTTTACATGTTTCTGCATACCAATTAAAAATGCATTCCGTTGTTCTTGTGGGTTTTTTCTCTTTGTATTTCTAATTTTTCCCTGAAAATAAACAATTTTATCTAAATTAAAACTTCTCAGCCAGGCACAGTGGCTCATCCTTGTGATCCAAGCACTTTGGGAGGCTGAGGGGGATGGATCACTTGAGACCAGGAGTTCAAGACAAGCCTGGGCAACAGGGTGAAACCCCATCTCTACAAAAAATACAAAAATTAGCTGGGGGCGGGGGGTGGTGTGCACCTGTAATCTCAGCTACTTGGGAGGCTAAGACAGAATAATCCCTTGAGCCCAGGAGGCAGAGGTTGCAGTGAGCCGAGATCGCACCATTGCACTCCAGTCTGGGTAAAAGGAGTAAAACTCTGTCTCATCAAACAAGCAAACAAACTTCCCCACTGTGGCTGCTGTAACTCTAAATTATTTTTGGTAAGGCTCACCCATTTCTCCAGAAAAGCCCTGATTCTGGGTCCATAGTTCATATACAAGAAATTGACTAGAGTCCCAGATGGGGGAGTTCTAAGCTCCTTGGATCCCAGTGAACCCATGATTCCCTATCTCCTAGGAACCCTACCTACCACACCCAGTTCAGTTTCTTCTTGACCCAGCCAGACATCTGAAACCTCTATAGGATCCAGTCCAGTTTGAAGATTTCTGAACCCAGTCTGGATCAAATTTCTCAAATAAGCTCAGAGAGCTCAGAACCCGAATGAGTGGAGCTCAGAATCCGAGAGGGCTCAATCCACCATCCCCAGTTCCAGGGGATCAGTGGGCACAATGGGCCTGGTGGGTGCCTTTGCTTTGCCACCCCCTGCTCCTGGGGGTCACTATGCTCCTCTTTGAGTTTCTTCACATTCACTGATCTGTTGAAAAGGGAAAACCTCAGGCAAGCTTAAATTTATCAGGTTTATTTAAGGGGAAAAAAACTTGCAAGCTGGGCAGCCCTTAGAACTAGAACAAGTTCAGAGAACTCCTGCCTGCCACATGGTCAGACAGCATTTATGAACAGAAAACCAACATGGAGCAAAAAGAACAACTAAGTTGGCTACAGCTCAGCGTTTTATCTCACTGGGTCGGCTGACTGCCTACTATGACATAAGGCTCAAGCCTTAACTAACCAAACTCAGCTATTTGTTGCCTTAGTATACTCTTAAGGAAATTAGTGACATTTAGCATGAGTGACTCCATATTGGCTTGGTCTGCTGGATGCAGGAGAGGAGCCTGATTCAAATCAATGGCCCCTACAAATGTTACTGAAGAGTTCTAAGGAGGGTTCCTGAGGTGGCTGTGGCCATGAGGGCCCGCTTGAGGCTGAAGATGGGAAGCACACACATTCTTATATTCTCCATTCTCTGCAGTTGGTGTTTGCTTATTCCTGGGCTGGCCACCACCTTTTGTAATTGCTGTAGCTTTTTGCTTTATTTTTCAAATTATGTTATTAAAAATTAACTATGCACTCTTTGACCCAGCCATTCCACTTCTGTGTATTTTACCCAAGAGAAATGAAGATATACATCCACACAAAGACTTGTAGAATGTTCACAGCAGCCTATTCACCATAGTCAAGACCTGAACACAAGTCAAATGCCCACCAATTGGAGAATGAATAAAAAAATTAATACTTTTATACAGTAGAGTATTATTTATTAATAAAAAGGAAGGAATACATGCAGCAATATTATGTTAAGTGACAGAAGCCAGACTCAAAATAGTACATGCTGTGTGACTTTTCTACAGGATGTTTGAGATCAGATAAAACTAATGTATGGTAATAAAAGTCAGCACAGTCACTGGGTGAGGGTGGGGTTGACCGGAAAGCAACCCCAGGATATTTCTTGGTGCAATGAAATGTCCTCTAGCTTGTTCGAGATGGTGGCTGTGCAGGTTGTGAAACTGCCAAAACCCATTAAACACAACATGTAAGATCTGTAAACAGAAATTATTATAAGGTTAAAATTAACTACAAAAGGAATATGTGCTTGGTATAAAACACGAAACAATCCAAAAATGAATAGAGAAAAAGTTAACAACCCACTCACCCTCTTTGGACTTCCCTGAGGCAATTGCTATTACTGTTGTTTGTGTACAGAACTGAAGGCCTGTTACTATCCTGCAAAAACTCTTGTTACTATTCAAGCATCACGCCTGTAATCCTAACACTTTGGGAGGCCAAGGTGGGAGAATCACTTGAAGCCAGGGGTTCAAGACCAGCCTGGGCAAAACAGTCTCTACAGATTTTTTAAAAAATATATTAGCCAGGCATGGCAGCATGCAGCTGTAGTCCTAGCTGCTTAGGAGGCTGAAGCAAGAGTACGGCTTGAGCCCAGGAGTTTGAACCTGGGTGACAGAGTGAGATTCTGTCTCTAAAAACAAAAACAAAATGAAATTGATATTGAAACTTTCAGTTCAAATTTAGGCTTGTAACATTTTATGTAGCTTCTTTGGTCTCAATAAAAAAATAATTTGAAAACAAGAAAGATTCTAAGAAGATAATTAGATAAGTGAAATAATGACATTCAATAGGTTTGAAATATAAAGTTAGAAACACCTTCCAAAAATTAGATTAAAATGATGAATAAATGGAAAATAACATAAAAGATAAAAGGTTTAGAAAATCAACCCATAAAAGATGAAAGGTTTAGAAAATCCACCCATGAATCAACCCAACATTGAACAATAAGTGAAGTCGCATATATTCTAGTTGACTTCCAGTTACTGTATGAAACTTTTTTCATTTATTAGACATGTAGGGAATAGACTGACCACTGAACTGAGACACTCTCAGACAATCACAGCGTTCAATCACAGACAATTGCAGACATTCTCAGACAATCACAGTGTTGTGCCTTCTTAGCTACGGCCCCAGACTCCACCACAGCAGGTGGGAAGTTCAGCCAGTTCCATTTCAGACTTGAAGGGCCAGGACACCCAGATGGCAAAGACTGGCCTCATGCCCACTAAGGATGAGTTGCGAAGCAGACATTCATGAGAAAGGGAAAGGAGAGATGCTGACAACCACATCCACACAGCTCTTGGACAAGGAAACTAGGATGCAAATAACAACAGCATCTTGGAAAAAGGTGGTGCTGCACTTGAAAGGAAGACAGGAACCCACTTTTAAATATTTTATTCCCAATGAAACATGAGACAATGAAACAGGAGCACTTGTTAACTCAAAGAAGGACTGAAAATATGCCCCCTTCCTCAAAACTCTTTTTTAGAAGCCACTGGAGCACGCAATCCAGAAAAAAAAAAAAAAGAAAAAAAAAACAGAACAAACAAAGGAACAGCAAGATCTGGATGCAGGAGCCGTGGGGGCGGGTACTGGTACAGGACACGGGCTACAGTCAGTCTCAGGATGCCTGCAGGCTGGGCAGCCAGAGGTCCTGTGCAGCAAGGCAGAGGTGCTGGGGCACAGTGGGGTTGACAGAGTCTGCAAGATGAGGCACCTTATAAAGGATATGGCCATGTACTTGACAGGTCTAATGCAGCATTTTGAAAAAATAAATAAAGATCAGTGCACCAAAATGAAGCAAATTTTAAAATGAGGTCATCACTAACTCTAAGCGAAACAAAAAGTTGGACTAGGAAAAAACCCCACCATATACTACTATTGCGTTTGCAGTGTGGTACATAGTCTTAATAGACTACTAATGTATAATAGATTGTAAAATTTATCAATATTTTACTACATCCGTACTGGGAGATTGGAGGGTTGGGGAGAAAGGGAAAATGCAGAGAAGGGGGCTGGCACAAGGAATAAATCTTCATCTGTCCTGACAAACACTCCGCAGAGCATATCAGAAATTACTCATTGGGCAATAGCTGTGCAAGCGTATTATTTGGAAGCACTTATTAATGTGTTTGGTATTTCCACTCTTGTTGGATGTGTGCAGCAGGCCCACTTCAGGTGCAGAAGGGGAGGTCCATTGTCTCATCCTTGTACACCTAGCACCACCAGGGTGTCTGCAGAAGGCAGGGCTTAGTGAGCTAATGAACAGGCAAACACATACACGTCCTTGGATATCCCTCTGCCACATTCAGGGAGCAGGGGTCTGTGTGTAGGGAACCTGCTCCTAAGGCAGTTGGCTGTTGTCTACCCCACCCCCCCACACACACACCTAGGCTGGACTTACCCTCTCAGGCCCCAAAGGTCAGGCCAGGTAGGGCTGGGACAGCCTCCCTAGCAGGGCCTGATGGCTAAGGAAGCAGGGATGTAGGCTGAGAAAGAGAAGGAGGGAGACACGGGGGTTGCAGGCTCTGATTTCAGGTCCATGCTGGGGCCCTGATGGCTCATGCTAGAGATGGGTATCATGCTTGCAAAGTTCTACAGGAAACGGGAACATGGGCACCGTGTCCCTGGGCTGCCTGGGTCCTCCCTGCCAAGTCCAGTTCTGCTTAGACTCACACGCGGCCATCTCTCCATTTATAGGGTTACTCCAGTGAGTTCAATTACAGCACTGATTCCCTGTGCTGAGGGCTCAGGACAGGCAAAGAGCTGCCCTTGACTTCCGGGATTCTTAGGTTCCCCATGGCACTGATACTGTGGACTTGTGAAATTTCATTTCTGATAAGATTGCATAAATCCCAATGAGGTCACTGTATTAGTCTGTTCTCGCATTGTATAAAGAACTACCTGAGACTGGGTAACTTATAAGAAAAGAAGTTTTAATTGGCTCATGGTTCCACAGGAAGCATAGCTGGGAGGGCCTCAGGAAACTTTCAATCATGGTGGAAGGCAAAGGGAAAGCAGGCACATCTTACATGGCCAGAGAAGGAAGAAGAGGAGAGAGAGGCGGGAGGTGACACACACTTTTAAACAACCAGATATGAGAACTCACTATACCAAGAGCAACAGTGGGGATCTGGCCACACGATCCAATCACCCCGCACCAGGCCTTTCCTCCAACATTGGGGATTACAATTTGAGGTGAGATTTGGGCGGGGACACAAATCCAAACCATATCAGTCACCTTCTAATGAAATGCTTTTTAATGAGGTCGAGAGCTTTGCAATTGGTGCAGAGGGCATACACCTGGGAGAGTTTTTTCTATAAGGGTTTTTCGCTGAAGCTTCCTGAAAGTATTGGTGTCTTTATGTTGTAATGGGTGGGCCACTGAGTTCAACCAACATTTAAACAAGCACTTGCTATGTATTGGCCTGGATGAAAAAGGCAGGGTCCCTGTGCTCCAGAAGTTCAGAGTCAGGGAAGGGAGATGGATGTGTCCAATCCATTCATTCTCTTGATAAATGTGTACTGAGCACCTAGGATATGTTGGACACTGTCCCAGACACTGAGATATAGCAAAGAACAAAATTTCAAAAAAACACCACATAGGACTTACCTGACTGGGAACAGACAATAAGCATAATAAAGATGGGAATTATCAGCTATATGAAATGGAGAAAAATAAAGTAGGGGAGAGGAGAGGGAGAGTTGAGGGAGGTTGCATTTTAAACAGAGTGGTGAGGGAAGCTTCATGATAGAGTGATAACTGAGCGGAAACCTACTGAAGGAAAGTGAGTCAAGTACACCCAGGGGAAGGGCACACCAGGGGGAGGAGCATCTGGTGGGAAGGGCACACCTGGATGAAAAGTACAACTGGGGGAATGGTGTACCTGGGGAGTGAGTGTACCTCAGGAAAGGGTGCAACTGGGGAGAGGGAGCACCTGGGGGAAGGGTACACATGGCAAGTTGGTACACCTGGGAGAAGGTTCACCTGGGGAGTAGGTGCACTTGGGGAGACGGTACATCTGTGGAGAGGGCACAGCTGGGGGAAGAGTACACCTGGGGAGGGGGTGCACCTGGGGAGTGGGTGCCTCTAGGAAGAGGGTGCACCTGGGGGAAGGGTGCACCTAAGGAGTGGGTATACTTGGGGAAATGGTGCACTTGGGGGAAGGGTACACCTGGGGAGAGGGTGCACCTGGTGGAAGGGTATACCTGAGGAGTGGGTGCACCTGGGGAGAGGGTGTACCTAGGGAGTGGGTACACTTGGAGAAAGGGTGTTCCTGGGATGTGGGTGCACCTGGGGGAAGGGAGTACCTGTGGAAAAGGTGCACCTAGAAAAGGTACACCTAGGGAAAGGGTGTACCTAGGGGAAAGGTACACCTGGGGAGTGGGTATACCTGGGGAAAGGGTATACCTGGGAGAAAGGTACACCTGGGAGGTGGCTGCACCTAGGAGATGGACACACCTGCGGGAAGGGTTCATCTTGGGGAGGGATTGTCTCATCTCCCTATCCTTTCCCTCCCCTTGTCATTCAAACCTCTAAAATACAAGCTTTTCTCAACTTGGGGCTTGGGGACAAGGGTCACAGAGTCAGTAACCATTAGAAGCAGTATGTAATCATTTGTGTGTACTGCATACAGTGGCATTTTTCTCTAGTGAGACAATTTGTGACTTTAGAATGAGCTTTTTCCCAAAGATTGAGAATCCTGGGATGTTTATTCAATTTCACTCATGAATGCAATGGTTTATTAAAGAATACATTTCCAGAGGAAGTGATGGTCAGAGACGCTTGCTAAGCTTCTAACAGAAGCTTGCAGCCCTGAAGGCTGCCTGCCTCCTCCTGGAGGTCATACCCAGATCTATGCTGGACACCCAGGTCGTGCAAAGCTCAGAGGTCAGCAGGGCTGCCTCTGCCAGCTCCTTTCATGGAAGCTGAGGCACAAGCCTGACAACTTGTTCACTTGCAGCTGACTTCATGCTTTTTGCTTTAGCACATACTTGAGAGAATGTTTCAATTGGAGTCCAATCAGACCAGCCATCCTACTTTGCCATTTTATCACAACCTCAGCACATACACAGGAAAGTTTTAGCAGTTCAACAGAACATTTTTAGTCATTTGGCAGAAGTAGTATGCCAATTTGCAAATTTGCTGGAAATTTCCCAATATACAATCTCTGTTAACAAGCTCATTACAAAACTTCTCACAGCCTCCCTGGGGGATTGTACTAGGAACTAGATGTATCCAAGGCACTAATGTTGTTTCTAGATATTTTATTTTTATTGTGATTGTAAAAGAGATCTTTGTTCACTTTATTTTGTAAAGGGTTGTTGCAAGTATATATAAATGCAACTTATCACTGTGTTTATTTTATATCCAGCCACTTTATTCTCTTACTATTATCCCTAAATACTTGCTACGTCTTTGAGGAATGCCCATATTTTTCTGCCCTGTGGACATCACTTCTTGACCAATAAATTGGGAGTTCAGTGCTGGATTCTGAGCAGGGAAGTGATGTGTGCCTTCTAAGCAGAAGCTCTCTGGGTATCTGTTACTGCTTTTAAAACCATCCCACTGTAATCCCAGCACTTTGGGAGGCCGAGGTGGGCAGATCACGAGGTCAGTAGATCGAGACCATCCTGGCTAACACGGTGAAACCCCGTCTCTACTAAAAATGCAAAAAAAAATTAGCCAGGCATGGTGGCAGGCGCCTGTAGTCCCAGCTACTCGGGAGGCTGAGGCAGGAGAAGGCGTGAACCCAGGAAGTGGAGCTTGCAGTGAGCCAAGATCGCGCCACTGCACTCCAGCCTGTAAGCAAGACTCTGTCTCACAAAAAACAAAATAAAACAAAAAAACAAAACAAAACAAAAACACCATCCCAACACAGAGTGGCTTAAAATAATGGTTCATTATGATGTAATGGCCCTGTGGACTGGGTGCGGTAGTTCTTTCTTAGGTTTCTTATGTGTGGTAGTCAGTTTCTGGCTGCGGCTGCACACCACCTGAAGGCTCAGCTGGGCCGGATGTCCAAAATGGCCGAGTCGCACAGTGAGCAGTGGATTCTGACTGTCACCTGGAGCCTCAGTGGGGGCTCTTCACTGGAGCACTCACATATGGCATCTCCACATGGCTTGGGATTCTCACAGCCTGACAGCTAAATTCCAGGAGGGAACATTATCAAGAGATCCAGGCATCTTACAAGCCCAGCCTCAGAAGTCCTAGAATGTTACTTCCATCACAATCCATTGGTTAAGCAAGTCACTAAGGTTAGTCCAGACTTTGTTAGTAAGACAAAGGCAAGATTCCAGTACTTGGTGTAAGAATCATCCAGCACATACAGGGAGGAAAGAAATTGATGGTGACTGTCTTTGGAGACTATCCATACCAAGCTTTAAAAATCATCACCTGGTTCCGCAAGCTCTTTTCCTTGGCCATGAGGCCAGCGTGTCCCAGGTAAGGGCCGCTAGAACTCAATGGACTGATTCGTTCATTCGGGCATGCATTTTAAGTTAATAAACACTTACTGAGTCTCCACTGAGTGCATACATGATGGAATCAAACCAAACCAAGGCCCTCTTCAGCTATACCCATGTCTGGGGCACAGGAGGGATAGTGGGGGCAGGCTGTGCTTGTTAGGCAGATGAGTTCAGAACTACAGAGTGATGCAAATATTAACACCTATGTAGCACTTACTGTATGCCAAGTATTACCATTTTACATACTTTACACATTGTGCTTTACAGCAGAACCTGAGAAACACGCTCATCAAGTCCAGGAAATAAATAGAGGTATCAGCTGTCACTTTTTTATTGTAAAATTTTTTAGTAGTGCAATAAAATAAAAACAAAATAGAATACATAATTATTAAGAGAGAAGACATAAAACATTACTATTTTCAGATACAATGATTTTGATCTGCAGAAGTCTCAAGAGAATAAACAGAAAAATTCCTAAAATTAGTAAGTAAAGCCCTAGCTCCATCACGTACAAGCCTTATGAGCTTAGGTCACTCACTTCCTGTCTCTTCTCTCATCTGAACCTCTGTAGGGCCCTGGAAATGGGGGATCTCCTGCCTTGACAGCTCATCAGTACGTGTGAAAAGCCAACAAGAGTGGATATGATAGGAACTGCAATCACACAGCACTTTGGAGAATGTGAAGATTGGTGCTCACAGCAGAAGTTAACACACTGATGCTGTGATCACTGTTCAGTAGGTGGAATGGTCCTTAGTGATCCTTGAAGAGTAGCTGCAACTGGAAGACACAGAATGGAGAGGGTGGATCATGCAAATGAAAAGATGGGCTCCAACATTCAGCGGAAGGAATTTATGGTTGGTTCCCCCGTTTTTTTGTTGGCGGTGGTGGTTTATTTTCATTCCCCATGCCCGGTCCTTCTGATGGCACTCACTGATTTGGCTCTAGGGCACAAGTCTATGTTGCATGCAGTCCTGGTGTAACAATCAATTGAGGCATTTCCTGGGCGAGGAGCTGGGACACGGGCCAAGCCAATCAGACTCTGGTTCCCCCAGGACGCTGAGTCATAGTGGAGCCATGCCAAGACGGAAACAGCTGACCTGCTGTGCTGCTGCCATGGCTCCCTGAGGAGTGTCCCTCAGTTCCTAAGAGGGGACTGTCTGCACGCTGGCTCTTATGGGTTGATTTTGCACTTTTTCTTTGATTCTGAGAGCTACCCACATCCTCTCCAATTCTTGCTCCAGTCAACCAGACACAGTTTCTATTGCTTGCGGTGGAAGACATGCCCATGCAGAAGGCGTCAAGGCTCTTGGGAAGATGGGGAGTGGCATGTGTTCTCATGGTGTTCACAGCTGCACATGGGAAACACCTCATTGCCTTCGCACAACAAACCCAAGAGGGAGGGGGTTCCTTCCCCAATTCTGCAAATGGAAAAACTGAGGCTCAGAGGGGAAATTGATCTCTCAGTGTCACAGCCAATGAATGACAGAGGGAAAGTTGTGGTCCAGGGCTGAGTCCGGGTTCCACAGTGTGTAGATGAATTTCTTCAACCCCTTCATCATGTGACAAGAGCCACAAGGTCTCCAGGCCTCCTGGACATGACAGGTGTTTGCTCACAAACTGAAACTTTCTCTGCTGGGTCACACCCTCCTCGCCCATCCCTACTCTTGGTGCAGGGCATGAGCTGGACCCTGGAAGACCAATGGGTATTCAACTTTCAGAAAGCCTTGGCGAGGTCTAGTGATGAAATAATTTTGTCATTTGGAATGCTGACAAAAAAAATTTGAATTTTTCGGCCATAGTTTCATTTCCATAAATCACTTCATTCTTATCCTAATCCTTCCCCAACTGTTTGTCAAAATTCCCATCAAATATTTTTCCACTTGGAAGACTGATTTTTAACACTCATACCCCACCCCCACCAGGCCACGGTGTGGACATTTTTCATTCCTAAAGTCAGGAGGCCAGAGACATTTCCAAGAGAGATCAAAGCACTTGCTGGCCACGTTGGAAAATGAGAAGGGAGGATAAGGGTGTGAAGGGGCATCCTGCCTCCAGGAGGGACCCCCTCCAAGTGAGTTAAGAGATGTGGGCCAGGAGGGCTGAGCAGTAGCATCCACTGGGAAGCCCTGGGCTCCAGGCCCAGCCCTGTAGCTGCCTCACTGGACAAGCCCTTCCAGCTGGCCTCGGAGGACATGGACCATCTTCCCGGGTTTGGCTGTGTATCCCAGTAGCACCATGGAGTAGCCAGGGCCCTTGGCCAGGCCACTAAACTACACCGTACCCCCCTTGTCATCTGTTGCATGCAGGCATCAGAATTTACCTTTAAAGAAGTGTTTCTCAAACTTGAGTCACTTAGTTTTCATGGCATATTTATACAATATATGTGCGATTATTAAAAGTTTCCTTTAAATCAAATTATTGCCTTTGTTTAAATATCTTTCTGTAACTTGCACATATCATCACTGAAGATGGAAAACCAGTATCACATGCCGTAAACAAAGGGTAACTAAACAAAATAGCACAACTATAAAATAACAGATTTCATATGTCCCCTAAAATCAACTTGTGTACTACCAGTGATATGCACACCCAATTTTGGAAACACTACTTTAAGGGGGTTGGGATATGAACTCAAATACCTCCAACTCTAATATCCCCAAGTCCTTCAATTATCAGGGGTTTCTATTTCATAATTTAAAAAACAAGCAGCCTGAATCCACATTCTACATGCGATGGCAAGTCTCCTCCCACCCATTTCTTCTTCCCTTAGGAGACTTTTGTGGATTTCCAAAAGGTTCATGTTTTTCAGGAACAAACCAATGGCCAAACCGTGGTGTGGTGGGGGTTGAGGGGTGTGAGCTACCTCCTTTCCCACAGTGCCTAGCTCCTCGCTGGCAATCCATGTTCCATTGATGCCCAGATTTACACACCAAGCCTCTCTCCTGAGCTGCAGATGTGTGCACCTGACCATACACTTGGCAATTCTCTTTGGCTATCTTGTTGACGCCTCAGCTTAGCACACTGAAGACAGAACTCCAGACCTTTGCCCTAATCCTGCTTTCTCCAGGCTTCTCTGCCAGGGGGAGTGGCCATTCCCCAGGTCCTCATGTTTCCACAGGGGCAGAGACCACGTCTGTCCCATTCCCTGCTCTATGTCCTATGCCTGGCCGGAGTAAGAGCTTGTATGGGCCAGCTTAAGCTGTCATACCAAAGAACAAACGACCCCACGTCCTAGGGACTTCAAATAACAAAGGTTTATTTCTCTCGCATATTTATGCCTCTCTCAGCATGGCTGGGTCTTGATCCATGTCAGCTTCATTCCAGAATCAAGGCTGATGCAGCAGCCCCTACCAGACGTGCCAGGCTGCTGCCAAGGGAGAAAGAGCGACAGTGCAGCCACCGATGGCGCCTGGAGCTGCCACATCTGCCACACTGCTCATTGCCCGTGGCAGAGACTGAGTCACGAGGGCCGGGAAGCTCCGTCTCCAGGGAACAACTTGGGAATAACTGCACAGCCTCCCACAGTGCTTGACAGATACTGATTGGATACTGATAGGAATAAGGTGTCACAGGCAGCTTCCATCATGATCAGCTTCCATCATGGATCATGAAGTTCACATGAAGATTAGAAAGTGGGCTTCATGCTTGGGTGGGACACAGAGCTCACCCACTGGCTGAGATATTCATTTCTCACACAGGTGAAGTCAAAGGCCTTACACACAGGACCCCCACACCCACAGGCCTCACACTTGGCCCTGGAGGCTGCAGGCTGGCAGCCCAGTGTGTGGGGTCCCCCTGCTAAGCCCCTCCAGCCTGCCCCTATCCACACCCGTCCTCCGCCTCTGCATCTGACCCGGCTCCCACATCACACCGCTGGGGGCTCCTACCTCCTGTGGGCCTCACTGCCTAAGAGTCTTTGAACCTCTTAGTCACTCTGAGCCTTCCATGGTTTGGTCCTTGGAAACCAAAGGCTCACACAAGGTCCCATCTAAGGGGCCTGCCCAGGAGGCAGATCTGGTCAGTCAAGTCCTCTCTCAGCAGGAGTCCCCTGCAGGCAGAGACTCACGGCTGCTGAGCCAGGAAGTCAGGGCCACAAGACTTATAGCCCTGGCAAGTCTCCAGGTAGTTGACACTGGATACACTGCCATGGTGGGGCTGGAGGGTCAGCGGGCGGTAGGTCAGGATGTCAAAAACAGGGGAGATTGACCCTATAGATACACCTGTATGAGCACAAAATGGCAAGCACACAGCCCAAGTTCCTATCCACAGGGTGTCCGTTGAAAAGATCATGGGTACACCTTGGAGCACTTGAGGCGGATGTCAGAAAGAATGAAAAAGCTCTGTGCAGGCCTATGGAAAGGGCTCTGGGACTGAGGAAGGAAGGAGAGGGGGAAGGGAGGAAGGGAGGGAGTGAAGAAGGAAGGAAGGACGGAAGGAAGGAAGGAAGGAAAGGAGGGAAGGAAAGGAGGGAGAAGGGAAGGAAGAAAGAAGGAAGGAGAGAAGAAGGAGGGAGGAAGGAAGAAGAAAGGAAGGGAGGAAGGGAGGGAGGAAGGGAAGGAGGAAGGGAAGATGGAAGGAGGGAAGGAAGGAGGAAGGGTGGAAGGGAAGGAGGAAGGGAAGATGGAAGGAGGGAAGGAAGAAGGAAGTAAAGAAGGAAGGAGGAAGGGAGGAAAGAAGGAGGGAGGGAGGAGGAGAGAGGGAAGGAAGGAACGAAGGAAGGGAGGAAGGAAGGAAGGAAAGAGGGAAGGAAGGGAGGAAGGAATGAGGAAGGGAGGAAAGAAAGAGGGAGAGAAGGAAGAAGGAAGGAAGGAGGGAAGGAGGAGAGGAGGGAGGGAAAGCAAGAAGGCGGGAGGAAGGGAAGGAAGGAGGGAGGCGGGGAGGGGTACACAACAAGGGCAGCCTAGGCTCCGGTTGCTGTGACAAAGAAGCGGAGTGGCCCTGCTGCATTCTTTTGCTGGCATTTGGCATAAGCCTGTGATAGATAAAGAGCAGAAGGTGCCTTTAGGGGGCACCGAAGAACAGGGTCGATAGGGCTGGGGGAAAGCAAGTATTTCAAAGCTAACTTTTCCATCATTTTTGTGTTTGAACCATGTAAATGTATTGCCTGTCCCCCTAAAATGGATTAATTGAGAAGAGAGCGAGACCACGCCGAGCCTCGGGCCATCACAGCCTGAATGGGAAGCAGCGAACCCCGCTGTGACGGCTTCAGGCCCCGGCCTGTGGAGGGTGGGGGAGTCGCCCTTGGGAGGGGCTGGGCCCCACCGCCGGCTCTGCTTCTCACGGCAGGGGCGCCCCCAGGAAGGGACAGGACAGGGAGCTTTGTCCCGCAGCGAACGGGAACGCGGAGGCCCGGCCTCTCGCCTCCCCACCCTCCCCACCCTCCCCGCGCCTTCTCGGGCCTCCGCGTCCGCCCTGCGCCCTCGGAAGGCGCCGCCCGGCGGCCGCGGCCCTTCGCCGCAGCCAGAGTGCTTTGTCCGAGCTCAAAAAAGCCGTCTCCATGGAAGCGGCCCTTCCGCTCGGAGCCCGGCGGCCTGGAGGGAGACCCGGCGGGGATGCGAGGATTCCGCCCCAGCCCCAGAGGACGCGGCGGAGAGCCTGGAGGAGGCGCTTTGAGAGTCGAGGTCTCCCGCCCGCGCGCCTCCCTGGCGCAGACCTCTTTTAACTTTTTGGCGTGGAGTGCGCGTCCTGACGTGCCCCCTGAGCTACAGCTTACTGAGCTTTACTGGCTTCGCCGGACAGCCGTCCCCAGGTGGAGAGACAGCGCGTCGCGCGCTGCCCGGGCCCCGCAGGGCCTGGCGCCTGGGGCCCTTGCGCCGCTTTGGGGCGAGGGGATCACACCGCGGGCTCCCGGAGCTTAGCGTCTTCCACGCGGCGCTGTGTGTCATCCACGCAGTGTGCTCTCGCTGCCGTGTTCAGGTCACTGCGAGGGTGAGCCCCGCTTTATCTACCCCTTCTGCTGTTGATGGGCACTCGTCTGGGGCTAGAAGGGATAAGGTTGCTGTGAGCGTTCTCGTGTGTTTTTGGTGCACGCGCACACACATTTCTCTGGGGTGCAGACCTGTCTAGTAGTGGAACTGCCGTTTCCCAGCACTTTGGAGCAAAGCCCTGTTGCAGTCTGAAGCGGAAAAGGCAGACGGGCCTTCCATGTTCGTGATTCCAGCCAGGCACAGAAGGGAAGGACAGGGACAGCAGCCGCGCGGAGGCGAGGAGGGACACTGGGCGCTGCTGTCCCCTCTCAGGGGCAGCCACTCCTCTTGTGGACGCAGGTGTGGTCACCAGAAGGGAAGGACAGCAGAGGACTCTTCAGGGACCTTCCTGGATCCCCCTGCAATGGGAGTGGCCTACTTGCTTGACTTGAGGGTGAGACTTGGTCAGCCCTTGACTGTAGGGGGCAGGACCATGGGCTTCAGTGGGGCAGCACCCATGACCCACGCCTCTGCTTCCATTCCCTGCTTACTGCCCGGGCCTCTGGGCAGGGGAGTCTAGTCTCCCTTCCCAGGCTTCCAATGCCTCGCCCCCTGCTGTGGTAAGGATTCGCGCTGGTCCCTATTTATTAATCAGGGAACTTGGGGTTCCAGTTTTCTCCCCTTCTCTGCATCTCATCCCCTTGAGAGCCCCCTGGAGCAGAGGATAACGCACGAGGGGACTGGCTGTGTATATTTTGATAACAATATCAAAATACTGTCAAATACTAAACGGAAAAGAAATAGGAAAACATTGAACTTTATTAAAATGAACTTCAAAAGACACCATTAAGAGTAAAAAGATGACTCACAAAAAAGTTGCCTTTTGTTCAGTAAACGACTCAGGACCAGAAAATATGAAGACCCCTACAACAAGAAAAATATAGATAGCTCAGTTAAAAATTGACAAAAGACTTGAAAAGATATTTCACAAAAGGAGAGATCCAGACAGTCAATCCACACACGAAAGGGTACTTAGCATCAGGGAACTGCAAATAGTGACATTCGATTCCATATCACAGCCACTGGATGGCTAAAATAGCAACGCCAAGTGCTGATGAGACTGTGGAACAACCAGCTGGGCTCTCATACCCTGCTGATGGGAGAGT
Organism: Homo sapiens; assembly: GCF_000001405.40. Taxonomy (NCBI): domain Eukaryota; kingdom Metazoa; phylum Chordata; class Mammalia; order Primates; family Hominidae; genus Homo; species Homo sapiens. Next base: position 126,214,827 of record NC_000003.12, read on the forward strand.
GGATTGGAGCAACCACGTGGAAACATCTAATGGAGGTAAGCAAACGCCTGCCATAGGAACCAGCGTGTATATCCAAGGGAACCGAGTGCTAGGTTCCTGATCATGGTCAAGATCGCCTACAGCAAATTTACTTATTTATTTTAATCCCCCAACAAATGTCTTTAATGTCTTTAGAAAGATTAATTAAATGGTAGTATTTTAAGAATGCAATGGTATACTGCACAGCAACAAAAAAATAACAAACTGCTAATACTTGCAGCAACATGGATAAATCTCAAAGTATTGAATGCAAAGCTACAATAGAGTGCATAACTAAGGATTCCATTATATAAAATACAAAATCCAGGCAAGACTGATCTACAGTGTTAGAGGTCAGGAGAGAATTTTGGAGGTAGTTGCTTGGGCACCGGGATACTGCGTGGGGAGCTGTGAGTGCTGCATATCTTTAGCTGCGTCCTGCTTGGAGTGCATACTCTGTGAAAATTCATCAACCTGTGCACTTAAGACTTGTGTACTTACATTATCTTTCAGGAAAAAGAAAAGAAAAGTATGCCAAACTTTACCCTTCACCTTTCTTCTCAAAATGGTCAGGTTTCAGAGCTGTGGTAGAAACTTCTAGTACTGACAACAGCCAGTACCTCCCCGCTTGGCAGCTGAGACTATGGGACCAGTTCTGGCCAATGGAATGTGAGGGGAAATGACGGATGTCAATTCCAGGCTGAAGCTTTTAGTTGCCAGAGCCAGGTCCTCCAGTCCTACCTTTCCACTGTGGCAGTCCCTCTGAAGTCCCAAGATCAAGAGCTGACAGCTGAATCCTTGCATGGAGAGTCGCCTGGACCTGCAGTGGACTCTGGATGAGGGAGTATACACCGTAAGTGTATTAAGCCAATGCTGTTTCAGAGTGGTTAATTACCACAGCATAACATGCCCTATCCTGACTAAAATGGATGTGTAGGAGCTCGACAGAGGAATAATTGTCCTTTTGGTGCCCTGCGCTTGTTCTTGGCCTTGGCCAGGTAGCAGCACACTTAGTATCAGACCGCCCAAGTGTCCTATGTCTACATTCGGTGGAACCCATTGTGGTGGCCCCTGGATCGACATTACAGCAGAGGGGAAGCACTGGCCTCCTGCACTCTCAGTTTCAGCTAGCTCTGCGTGCCGTTTTTCTCAGTGACAACATTCCGTGTAGGTGTTTGCCCACTGCCAGTGCTGGGTGACCTACGCTGGTACAGTCGGGACTACAAAGTCCTTTTCTTGGGATGCTTCCTTTACTACTTTGAACTCTTGGCTCTTGGCACTGGAATCCCCTAGCATTTGGGATTACCAGAAAACAAGAGGTGGCAAGATGGTGCAATAATTTTGAACCCAGCCCCATGTTGAAGTGCACGACTGGGGACAGTGCAGTGGGGAAATGAGAGCTTGGGGCCAGGAAGACTGCTTGGGTTCTAACCCCGGTCCCATTGCTGGCCACCTACGACACACTGGCAAATCACTTTTATCCCCAAACCTCAAAAATGGTCTCAAGGTTTCCAAATAGAGGTGTTTCTTTTCATTTTCTAGAAAAGTGAGCATAGTGGTAGAGCCCCTGAAGCTGCATCCTTCTGGGGTAAGGCAGAGCCATCTCACAAACCACACCACCTGATGGCATCTATTACAAATGTCAGATTTTGTAGGCTGAAGTGACCAAGAAGCCATTGGGAATGAGCAAAGTTTTAAATTGCTGGAAGGAATCTTCAGCAAACAGGCAAATACTTTAAAATTTTAGGTGATCCATCACTGAATAATTTGAAAGATCTTCAGATTCTTGTACTGTGAATCACTTCTGTAGGCATGAAAGAGTGAGCAATGCAGGCATAACATTAAAAGGAGACTGATAAGGAAATAAAAATGAAGAACAGAAATAGCTCCAAAGATTAGATGTAAGCCCTTGGGGTTGGGATTATCTGGAGAGAGATGGGAGCTCAGTTGTCGGAATAAAGCCAAGTAGCAAGGTAGCCTTAAATGTACTCCAATTTTCACCACTCAGCAGCAGGAGCCAAGCAGAGACTGCTTCCCTAGACCCTTGCTTATTGGACACCACAAACTTCCTGGAGGTGCTAGCACATAGAGGTGAGGTGTTTTTTTATAGATCCTTTTGGCTCATCATGACAAAGGGAGACACAGGTTATGGTGTTATTCTTTCCAACCTGAAGGCTGAACAGACAACGGACAGACCCTGCTTCCCAGATTCCTCATCCTGACACCAACAAGATAGTGAAAAATGATGCAACCACAAAGTGTTAATTTTCCCTTCCTGGTCCCACAGTTTTATTTAATAATTTCATTGGGCATGATATTTTACATCAGCCAGCATAAATACTAACAGCAACCAGAGAGACAATGCTAGGAATCAAGAGAGTGTCTATAGCCTGCTTCGGGCAAATGTCTAGCCTGAATAGATCTTGCCTTGTTCAAGGTTGTAAACACCAGTAAAAAGGGGACCTATAAAAATATTTTACAGTTTATAAGATGTAAGTGTTCATGGTATTAAAAAGGCAGGGAGGTATGTTTTTCAACATTGCTTTATTTACCAAGAAGGGGGGAAATTTTAGAGAGCAACTGCTTTGTGGTAACCATAAATCTCAACCATACGTAGGCTCTTTAAAGCAAGAAATAAGAAGGGAAGGCAACGTGGTATAGAACCAGATTCCAATGAGCCTGAAAAATAGCTGGCTAATTTTCTAAGAAAAGAACTAAGAAAGAAAATAAAGAAAGAAAATAAAGAAGTTATAGGCAAAATGGCGAGGAAATTAAAAGTGCAATACCAGAAATAAAATATGCAATGTATCAGTAAAAAAAAAAAAATCTATACAGCAAAACAAAAATAAATGGAAAACTTAAACATTGGTCATTTAAGAAACTTTTCCAGAAGCAAAATAAGTAAACAATTAAATAGGGACAAAGAATTTTAAAACATGAGAAAAAAGATAGTAGATATGGAGGAAGAAAATGGCAGATCTAACATATGGGTAATTAATGTTCTGAAGAAAACACACGCAGTATACACAATAATACAGTTATAACAGAAAACTTTCCTGAGCTATAAAAATACCTGAATTAAAATTCAGAGCACTTATATTTACACACTACTATGCGCAATTATTTTTATTTCAAGATTAAATGAAGTATAAGCATCCAGGTAAGGCACACATATTCTTTTTTCAAAAAAAATTCCCTTCTGCAGGGGTTGGGTGGACAATAAAGGATACAAATTATCCAAAAAAGAAAAAAATTTCAAATAAATTTTAAAAACCCCTAACACTTTTTGCAACTTTAAAAGCCAATAGAGAAATACCTACAGAAAACATTGCTGAAAAAGTCTATAAATCAAGAGCTCTTATTCAGGTTTTATTCAAATGAGAAAGCAACAGAAAGACACTGTCAGAAATACAATGGTTCAAAAATAGACAATAAAACCTAAAGGAAAATTTTACTTGAACACATGTCTTGATCAATCAAAAGCTAATTAAAAAAAAACAGCTCATTTCAAGGACTATCATAAGATATAGAACATTCAATGGATTGAACATTGAAACTGTTATGAACAGAATAAAGTGCAAGTAATGCTTGGAAGTATAGTTTTAAAAGAAAATGTGACTCCTGACAAGTAATTCTAGCACTAGATGACACAATACTAGAGGCAGAAACCATAAAGAAAAGAGGAATAGATTTGATTATATGATGTTATAAAACTTACATATGTTAAATATATATAATGATAAATTTGCATATATCTTTCATGTGCCATAAACAAAACTAAAAGATAATTTCAAACTAGGAAAAATATTTGCAAAATATGACAAAGTAAATATTGTTAATTTACAAAAAATATTTCAAATTAATAAATGGACAATCAACACCAAATGAGCATAGAATATGAAAAAGCAATTCTCAGAAATAGGAAGAAAGGAGAGAAAGAAGGAAGGAAATAAAACAATACTCAATCTTAGAAGTAATCAAAGAAATGCAAATTAATGCAACATTTAGACATTTTTTTAAAAGAGCACACCAGTACAATAGTATGATGGTGAACAACCAGGGTCTATTATTATTGGCTGGAGTCTGTGTTAAATTGGTTGTAAAACCTTTTCAATTTTATGTCTTCTGTGGAAAACCAATAAAACACAAAGGAAGTCACTAAGAGATGAAAGAAGGGACAAAAAAGTTACAAGATCCATAAAACAACTAAAATATCAAGTCCTTCCCTATAAATAATTACTTTAAATGTAAACAAATTAAACTCCACAAACAAAATATACAGATTGGGTTGGGCGCAGCATATCATACCTGTAACATCAGCATGTAGGGAGGTCAAGGCAGGAACATTGCTTTAGCCCAGGAGTTTGAGACCAGCCCTGGTAACATAGTGAGACTGCCATTACTATAAAAATTTTTAAAAATTAGCCAGGTGTGGTGGTGCACACTTGTAGTCACAGCTACTGGGGAGGCTAGGTGTGAGGATTGCTTGAGCCTGGGAGATTCAGGCTGCAGTGAGCCACAGTCTCACCACTGCACTCCATCCTGGGCAACAGTTGATCAAGACCCTGTCTCAAAAAAAAAAATAGATTTGCTAAATGTATTCAAAAACAGGATACAATTATATGCTGTCTACAAGAAACTCACTTTAGATCTGAAAATATAATAGCCTAAAAATGAAAGGATAGAAAAAAGATTTCATACAAATGGTAATCAAAAGACAACAGGAATTGCTACACCAATATCTGGCAAAAGAGACTTTAAATCAAAAACTGTTACAGGAGACAAAAAAAGATATTGTATAATGGTAAAAGGGTCAATTTACCAAAAATACATAATAACAAAAAATATTTAGGTACCAAACCAGAGAGCTCCTAAACATATAAAGCAAACTAACAGAACTGAAGGGAGATAGACAGAAACACAATAATAGTAGGAGACTTCCATACCTCACATTCAATAATGGATAGAATAACTAAGCAGAAGATCAATAATGAGATAGAAGACTGAAACATTTTACACCAATTGGACCTAACGGACATACAGAGAAGATTCCACCCAACAACAGCAGAGTACACAATCTTCTCAAGTGTTCAGGGAACATTTTCCAGGAAAGGCAACATATAAGGTCACAAAATAACTCTTAACAAATTCAAAAAGGTTGAAATTACACAAAATATCCTTTTTCGATCACAAGGAAATTAAACTAGAAATCAATAGCACAAGGAAAATTGGAAACTCCACAAACGTGTAAATAAATTAACACAGTCTTGAACAGCCGATAGGTCAAAGAAGAGGTCACAGTGGAAATTAGAAAATACCTTGGGACAAGTGAAAATGAAAACACAACATACCAAAACTTATGGGCTACAGCAATAGCAGTGCTAAGAGGGAAGTTGATAGCAATACATGCCTTATATTAAAAAGAAGAAATATCTCAAATAAACAACCTAACTTTACATCTCAAGAAAGCAGAAAAAGAACAACTAAAGCTAAAGCTAAGAGAAGAAAGGAAATAAAGATTATAGCATAAATGATTAAAATAGAGAATAGAAGTGAAATCAATGAAACCAGATTCGGTTTCAAAAAAAAAAAATCAACAAAATGGACAACCCCTTAGTTAAATTAAGAAAGAAAGAGACGTGACTCAACTAACTAAAATCGGAAGTCACAGAAAGGACATTACAACTGATGCCACAGAAATAAAAAGGATTATAAGAGAATACTAAGAACAATTATATTTCCACAAACTTGATAACCTAAAGAAATGAACACATTCCTAGAAACACACAACCTACCAAGACTGAACCATGAAGAAACGAAAAGTCTGAACAGACCAATAACAAGCACGGAAATTGAATCAGTAATCAAATACCTTCCAACAAAGAAAAGTCCAGGACCAGATGGCTTCACTGGAGAATTCTACAGAATATTTAAAAATAATTAACACCAATCCTCCTGAAACTATTCCAAAAAATTAAAGAGGAGGGAATACTTAGGTTACTTTACAGGTCAGCATAACCCTGATACCAAATCCAGACAAAGACACTGCAAGAAAAGAAAACTGTGTTTTTTGGCTGCATAAATGTCTTCTTTTGAGAAGTGTCTGTTCATGTCCTTTGCCCACTTTTTGATGGAGTTGTTTGTTTTTTTCTTGTAAATTTGTTTGAGTTCATTGTAGATTCTGGATATTAGCTCTTTGTCGATGAGTAGGTTGCAAAAATTTTCTCCCATTTTGTAGGTTGCCTGTTTACTCTGATGGTAGTTTCTTTTGCTGTGCAGAGGCTCTTTAGTTTAATTAGATCCCATTTGTCAATTTTGTCTTTTGTTGCCATTGCTTTTGGTGTTTTAGACATGAAGTCCTTGCCCATGCCTATGTCCTGAATGGTAATGCCTAGGTTTTCTTCTAGGGTTTTTATGGTTTTAGGTCTAACATTTAAATCTTTAATCCATCTTGAATTAATTTTTCTATAAGGTGTAAGGAAGGGATCCAGCTTTCTACATATGGCTAGCCAGTTTTCCCAGCACCATTTATTAAATAGGGAATCCTTTCCCCATTTCTTGTTTTTCTCAGGTTTGTCAAAGATCAGATAGTTGTAGATATGCGGCGGTATTTCTGAGGGCTCTATTCTGTTCCATTGATCTATATCTCTGTTTTGGTACCAGTACCATGCTGTTTTGGTTACTCTAGCCTTGTAGTATAGTTTGAAGTCAGGTAGCGCAGGAAAAAATGCTCACCATCACTGGCCATCAGAGAAATGCAAATCAAAACCACAATGAGATACCATCTCACACCAGTTAGAATGGCAATCATTAAAAAGTCAGGAAACAACAGGTGCTGGAGAGGATGTGGAGAAATAGGAACACTTTTACACATTGGTGGGACTGTAAACTAGTTCAACCATTGTGTGGCGATTCCTCAGGGATCTAGAACTAGAAATACCATTTTACCCAGCCATCCCATTACTGGGTATATACCCAAAGGACTATAAATCATGCTGCTATAAAGACACATGCACACGTATGTTTATTGCGGCTCTATTCACAATAGCAAAGACTTGGAACCAACCCAAATGTCCAACAATGATAGACTGGATTAAGAAAATGTGGCACATATACACCATGGAATACTATGCAGCCATAAAAAATGATGAGTTCATGTCCTTTGTAGGGACATGGATGAAATTGGAAATCATCATTCTCAGTAAACTATCACAAGAACAAAAAACCAAACACCGCATATTCTCACTCATAGGTGGGAATTGAACAATGAGAACACATAGACACAGGAAGGGGAACATCACACTCTGGGGACTGTTGTGGGGTGGGGGGAGGGGGGAGGGATAGCATTAGGAGATATACCTAATGCTAAATGACGAGTTAATGGGGCAGCACACCAGCATGGCACATGTATACATATGTAACTAACCTGCACATTGTGCACATGTACCCTAAAACTTAAAGTATAATAATAAAAAAAAATAAAAAATATAAAAAAAAAGAAAAGAAAACTGCTGACCAATGTCCTTGATGAATGTAGATGCCAAAATCCTCAGCAAAATACTGGCAAACAATATTCAAAGCACATTAAGATTATACACCATGACCTAAATAAAGTGGAATTTATTCCTAGAATGCAAGGATGATTTAACTTATGAAAACGAATCAAAGTTATAACACATTAACAGAATGAAGAACAAAAGCCACATGATCATTTCAATTGTTGCAGAAAAAACGTTTAACAAGAGTCAACATCCCTTCATGATAAAAACACTCCACAATATAGGAATAGAAGTAAATCACCTCAACATACTAAAGGCAGTTTATACAAGCCCATAGCTAACATCATACTCAACAGTGAAAAACTGAAAGCTTTCCCTCTAAGATCAGGAATGAGGCAAGGATCTCCCCTCTCACTACTTCTATTAAATATGGCATTGGAAGTCCTGGCCAGAGCAATTGGATAGTAAAAATATATAAAGGGCATCCAATTGAAAAGGAAGAAATAAAATTATCTCTGCTCACGGATGGCATGTTTTTTTATGTAGAAAACCCAGAAGCTTTCACACACAGAAAAACTATTAGAATTAATAGACAAATTCAGCAAGGTTGCAGGATTTTAAATCAGCAAACAAAAATCTTGCATTTCTATACAGCAATAGTGAACAACTTGAAAAAGGAAATTAAAAAAAATCCTATTTACAACAGCATTGAAAGAATGACATATTTAGTAATAAATCTACTCTAAAGAAGGAGAAAGACTTGTACACTAAAAACTGTAAAATATTGCTGGAAGAAATTAAGGAAGACTAAATACATAGAAAGATAGTTTGTGTTCTTAAGTTGGAAGACAATATTGTTAAGATATCTGTACTACCCAAAGTGATCTACAGATTCAATGCAACCCTTATCAAAATCCCAAAGGCATTGTTTGCAGAAATAGAAAAAGTCATTCTAAAATTAATGTGAAATCTCAAGAGATTCCAAATAGCTGAAACAATATTTTAAAAGAAGAACAAAGCTGGACTCACAAGCCCTGATATTCCTGATGTTAAAACATACTGCAAAGCTCCAGTAATCAAAACTGTGTGTTATCAACATAAAAACAGACAAATAGACCAATGGAATAGAAGAGAGGACCCCAAATGAACACTCGTGTATGGTCAAATGAACTTCAGCAAGGGTACTAAGATCATTCAATGGAGAAGGGAAAGTATTTTCAAGAAATCACATTAAGGAAAAAAACTGGATATCCACCTGCAAAATAATAAATTTGGACCCTTATAGCATATACAAAAATTAAGGTAAAATGGATTAAAGATGTAATACCTAAAACTATAAAACTAGAGTAAACTACAGGGGAAAATCTTCATGACATTGTACTTGGCATGATTTCTTGGATAATGACACCACAAGTACAGGCAACAAAAGCAAAAATAGGCAAATGGGACTGTGTTAAACTTTGCAAATGTTTATCGAAGGATAAGATCAACAGAGTGAACAGGCAAATCATATATCTGATAAGGGGTTAATAGCCAGAATTTACAAAAGAACTGTTATAACTCAACAACAAGAAATCAACCAGGTTTAAAAATGATCAAAAGACTTGAATAGATATTTCTCCTAACATTATTTACCAATGGCCAAGAAACAAATGAAAAGATGGCAACATCTCTAATCATCAGAGAAATTCAAATAAAAATCACATTGAGCTATCACCTCATACTCATTACAATGACTACTATTTAAAGAAAAAAGAAAAAAAAGAACAAATTGGAAACGATGTGGAGGACCTCATGTGCAGTGTTAGTAGGAATATAAAATGGTGCAGCCATTGTGGAAAACAATACAACAGTTCCTCAAAAAATTAAAAATAGAATTACCATATGATGCAGCAATTCCACTTCTGTTTAAATGCCCAAATGAACTGGAAGCAGTCCCCCAAAGAGATATTTGCACACCCATGTTCATAGCAACATTATTCACAACAGCTGATAGGTGAAAGCAACACAAATGTCCCTTTATGGATGAATAAATAAACAAAATGTGGTATGTGCCTACAAGGGAATATGATTTAGCCTTAAAAAGGAAGAAAATTTTGTCTTGTGCAACAACATAAATGAACTTTAAGGATATTATGCTAAGCGAAACAAGCCAGTCAGAAAAAAGAGGAGTACAGGTCATCACTGATTTATGATGTTTTGACTTACAATTTTTCCACTTTACAATGGTGCGAAAGCAATATCCATTTAGTAAAAACCATATTTGAAATTTAGATTTGGATCTTTCCCAGGCTAAGGATATTCAGTACCATGGTCTCTTTCAACGCTGGGCAGTAGCTACGAGTCACAGCTTCCACACTTGTTTGCCAGTCAATTTTGCCCAACTGTGGGCTAATGTAAGTGTTCTGAGCACGTTTAAGATAGGCTAGTCCAAGCTATGATGTTCAATAGGTTAGGTGTATTAAATGTATTTTTGACTAACCACAGGTTTATCAACATAATTCCATTGTAAGTCGAGGAGTATTTGTACTGTATGATCCTGCTGTAAGAGCTATCTAAAGTAGCTGGATTCATAGCAACAGAAAGTAGAACGGTGGTGACCAAGGGAAGAAGGGAAGGAGAGAAGGGGAGCTGCTGTTTAATGGGCATAGACTTGCAACTTGAAAAAGCTCCAGAGAGATTTGTTTCACAATAATGTGAATAGATGTGACACCTCAGCACTATACACTTAAAAATGGTTAAAATGGTACATTTTGTGCTATGTATTTTTTACTACAATTATGTGTGTGTGTGTGTGTGTGTGTGTGTGTGTGTGTGTATGACATGTATCTCTATAAAGGGGAGGGCCCCATCATCACACACAGTCCCCCAGGCTTCCTTCCCATCCCCATCTCCAGTTCCACCGTAGCCAGCATTTCAAGTTTGGTCCACAAAATATCCCACAACTTTGTTTTAAATGCACAGATAAGCCTTATACATATGTGGAAAGTATTTAAGTGGTATTATATTGTATATCAGTATTTATCTATCATGTTTTGAAAAAGAAAAACTCTCTATGGACCTAATCAAACTTTTCAAAGTACATTAGGGAAAACAGAATTTAGCTAGATTGGGGTTAACTTATGTTAAGAACAGCAGGTTTCTCCAAGACTCTCCAAGATGGATTCTTATCACATTCTCAAATGCACAAAGGAAAAGAGTTTGGTGACTCTGGAACCAGAATGGGGGTTGTGGAGGCCGTTGTTTGCCCTGTGGTCTCAGTTCTTTATGGATCTAAGAAGAGTTGTTAATTTTCAGTTTGGTTTTGCTTTCTTCTTATTACAAGGATGGGAGTGAAGACCAATCTCCTTATATTTCACACCAAAAACCAGAAGTCCCAAAACATTTCAAAGTCTAAATACAGTTGATACTTTTCATAGAAAATATAAATGACCAAGAAGTAGTAGAAAAAGTAAATAAATCAATAAATATTCATGGCATGGAAAACCCCTTTAATTTAAAAAGTATCTGTCACAAGCCAACAACTTACGACAAGTTGAATGATTAAACACTAGAGACAAACATATGCATTATTCATGATCTAAGATCCCAGAAACCCTTTAAAATCCTTGGGATCAATTAAATCTCACAATCAGGTTTTTTTTTTCAGATTTCTCAAAGATAATGTCATACATATATTATACCTTGGAAAACAACCCCAATGAGGACCGGGAGGACAGTCCATAATCGAGCACATTACTGCCTAGGTCACCAAATGCTCTTGCCCCAAGTTGTATACTTGAAGAGTATAAATAGTCCTCATTGGTTCAGGCCAGATTTTATTACCCAAAGAGTTTGCCACAGACCTTAGATTTCAGAGTTTTTTGGCATTTAGGAATTGCAGGTGAAGTGCTGTAAACCTATAACTATCAATCAAAGTTGTTCATAAACTTCTAGACAATGCAATAGGACAAAAAAAAAAGCTTAAAAACATTGGAAAGAAAAGAGACAAAATTGTCATTATATTAATTGTCCATTTCTAGAAAATAAGAAAGTACAGAAAACTAGGTTTTAGAGTGTTTTTTAATTCAATATTTTCTATATACATACATATAACATACGTGTGTGACATGTGTGTATGTGCATGTATGTAAGAATGGGTAACACCCTTCTTTTCACCCAGATGGAGATTGAGGAGAGAGAGTAACTGTTCTTGGCAAATAATTTAATCCAGTCTTTTCTAGACTGTGCATTTCTAAGGCTCTAATTGTGTTGCTAAGGGAGAGGTGTTTATAGCAGGTTTGTGGCTGCTTTCTTACCCTGCTAAGCCTGAAAGGGAAGCAGAAAAAGAACAAAGAACTAAATACCACTTTGGATAATAGTGTGATTTACTGATTCCATGGGAGGAAGTGTGTTCTTCCTAATTAAGAGTCAGTTAGGAGACATTTTCTTCCTTGCTGTGGCAAGAACTAATGTTTGTCCTTAAGAAAGACATGTTTGTGCTTAAGTCAACAGACACTCTGTACCATACATAGATTAATTTCCAAATGGACTAAACATTTAAACATGAAACATCAATAAAATTATTTCAATAAGATATAGAATAGTAATCCTAAAACCTTGGAATCGAAAGTGTTTTCATTCTCAGACGTCCAAAAGAAACAATTTGACTCATTTAACCATGTAAAAATATATAATTTTTATGGTAAAAAAAAACACCAAAAATCTTAAAAGAGGAAGTCACTGGTAAAAGTATTCACAACTAAAATGATCACAGAGGGTGTAATCGTTGAATTGTGCTCCTCAAAAAATATCTGTTGCACTCCTAACCCCAGTACCTCAGAATGTGACCTTATTTGGAAATGGGATCTTTTCAAAAGTAAGTGCCTCATATGAGGCATTAGGGTGGGCCCTGATGCAATATGACTGGTGTATTTGAGTATTTGAAGTGGGAGAATACTTGATGCCAGAGATGGGAGGCCAGGAAGAAATAATAAATTTACAATGCACAGCAAACACCATCTTTTAGGGAGAATTCTGGGAATATGGTAACCTGAGCCCAGATCCATTTCCTTCATTCCCACATGTACCTTTTCTGCACCAATCAGCTGCTGAGACTCTGAGCATCTATCTGGGTGCTCATGCAGCCTGGGCTTCTATGAGCATCTCAAAAAGAAGACCTCTGTGGTGCCTTCTCCCCAGTAGCTCAGTGGCAGGTGCCTGGAAGTCAACACTGGGGAGCTGCTAGGAAAATCCTGGGAAGCCTTGGGGGAAGTTCCCATCAGCCCCATGAGCCTGCCTGGTTTCCCTGGTCAAGAAGATACTAAATGTGGGCTGAGTCCTCCTGACCCTGCAGCTAGGGAAACGCAAACAGGATGGAGGAACAAGGGTTTCAGCACATGACCTGCAGTCAGCCTGCTGCAGTGTCACCAGCACATGGAGGCAGAAATCTCTGCACCTTCTACAACCTGTAGAGCTGCTGCCATGCAGGGAACACCAACAGCTAGACTTGAGCCCTGATGAGCCAACACCTAGCCCACAGGATCATGCCAGCCAGAGGGTAAGATTATCCCACAACAAATATAACTCACACCTGGAGAAAGAGAGCTGCTAGAGGACAAGGGTGCAGCTGGAAGAAAATTGGAGGAGGTGAAGAGGGAAAGGACATTTACATGGATTCAAGAGCAGTACAAAAGAGTTTCTGGAGCTAAAAATAAACATAATTTTCTGCTCCAAAAATTCAGTGGATGAGTTACAAGAGAAAAGAGACACTGTTGAAACCTGAATTAGAGTTAGCATTCTGAATATTTACTGCTTATTGCAGTAATATCTCAAAAGATAGCAAATATATCAAATATCTCAAAAATATATCAAATATTTCCAAAAATATATCAAATAAGACAGAAATATATTAAATAAGATAGCAAATATATCAAATAAGACAGAAATCATCATAAACAAATATATAAAGGTTTGGAGCAGTGCATACCAAGGATGAGACAGTGGGAGTGTCCACCCTCAGCTCAGACAATAGTGTGTGCCTTGTCAGGAGATAATTTAGAAAACCAACTAAAAGACAGTTGGTTTTCTATGATCACAATGGACTGGCAATACTCAACAACATCAGTGATACAATAGTCCTCAAAAAAGTCTTCTTTTCATCTAAGATGTAAACCCTTGCTGCAGTTACTGGTTTTTTTAAAAAATTAACTTTACCTTTTAGAACAGTTTAAATTGTCAAAAAGATTTAAAAGATTGTATAGAGAGTTCCCAAATACTCCTTCATCCATTTCTCCCTAAAATTAGTATCTTTCATTAGTATAGTATATTTGTTACAATTAATGAATCAATACTGAGACTAATATCTAGAGCTTATTCTGATTTTCTTAGTTTTACCTAACATGTTTTTCTGTCCCAGGATTCCATCCAGGATACATTACATTTACTCGTCATGTCTCCTTAGGCTCTTCTTGGTGTGGCAGCTTCTCAGACCTTCCTTGTTTTTGAAGATTTCAACAGTGTTGAGGATTAAGAATTTTATAAGATGCCCCTTTTTTGAAACTTATGTGATGTATATCTGATATTTTTGTCATGATTAGATGTAGGTTATATGTAGACCACACAGGTAGAGAAGCAATGTTCATCACGTTATAATAATATTACATGCTATCAACATGATTTGTCACTGTTGATATTGACTTTTGTCAAAGATCAGTTGACTATATTTCTGTGAATCTATTTCTGGGCTCTCTACTCTGTTCCATTGATCTCTTTGTCTCTTCTTTTCCCAGTATCACACTGTCTTGATTACTGTAGCTTTATAGTAGTAAGCCTTGAAGTTGGATTGTGTCAGTCTTCCATCTTCTTTTTTTTTTTGGAGATGGAGTTTCACTCTTGTTGCCCAAGCTGGAGTGCAATGGTGCAATCTCGGCTCACTGCAACCTCTGCCTCCCAGGTTCAAGTGAGTCTCCTGCCTCAGCCTTTCCAGTAGCTGGGATTGCAGGTGTGCACCACCATGCCTGGCTAATTTTTTTGTATTTTTAGTAGAAACAGGGTTTTACCATGTTAGCCAGGCTTGTCTCGAATTCCTGAGCTCAGATGATCCACCCACCTCAGCCTCCCAAAGTGCTGGGATTACAGGTGTGAGCCTGGCCAGTCCTCCAACTTCATTCTTCTTCAGTATTGTGTTGGCTATTCCAGGTCTTTTGCCTTTCTGTATAAACTTTAGAATTAGTCTTTGATATCCACTAAATAGGTAGCTGGGATTTTGATTGTGCTGCACTGAATAAAATTAAGTTGGGAAAGACTGACATCTTAAACAATATTAAATCTTCTTATCTATCCGTGAACATGAGATATCTTTCAACTTATTTATATCTTTGATTTTTTAAAAATTTTATTTTAGGTTCAAGTGTAAATATGCAGGTTTATTATATAGGCAAATTGTGTGCCACAGGTGTTTGATGTGCGGATACTTTCATTACCCAGGTAATAAGCGTGGTACCTGATAGACAGTTTTTCTGATCCTTTCCCTCCTCCCACCCTCCACCTTCAAGTAGGCCCCAGTGTATGTTGTTCCCCTCCCAATATACACGTGTTCTAGTTGTTTAGCTCCTGCTTATGAGAATGTGTGGTATTTGGTTTTCTATTCCTGCATTAGTTTGCTAACAATAATGGCCTCCAGCTCCATCCATGTTCCTGCAAAGACATGATCTCATTCTTCTTTTGTATGGCTGCATAATATTTCATGGTGTATGTGTACCACATTTTCTTTATGCAGTCTACCATTGATAGGCATTTGGGTTGATTCCATGTTTTTGCTATTGTGAATAGTGCTGCAATGAACATACCTGTGCATGTGTCTTTATAACAGAATGATTTATATTTCTTTGGCTATATACCCAGTAATGGGATTGCTGGGTCAAATGGCAGTTCTATTTTAAGTTGTTTGAGGACTCACCGCACTGATTTCTGCAATGTCTGAACTAATTTATACTCCCACCAGCAGCATATAAGCATTCGTTTTCCCTGCAACCTTACCAGAATCTGTTATTTTCTGACTTTGTAATTATAGCCATTTTGACTAGTGTGAGATGCTATCTCATTGTGGTTTTGATTTGTATTTCTCTAACGATTAGTGATGTTGAACATTTTCTCATATGTTTTTTGAACATTTGTATTAATATGTCTTCTTTTGAAAAGTGTCTTTTTATGTCCTTTGCCTATTTGTTAATGGGATTGTTGTTGTTACAAAAAATTGCTTGTACATTTGTTTAAGTTCCTTATAGATTCTGGATCAATAAGGATGTATAGCTATACTTTCTCCTATTCTATAGGTTATCTGTATACTCTGTTGATAGTTTCTTTTGCTGTGCAGAAGCTCTTTAGTTTAATAAGATCCTATTTGTCAATTTTTTTTTTTGCAATTGCTTTTGGTGTCTTTGTCATGAAATCTTTTGCAAGTCCTGTGTCCAGAAAGGTATTTCCTGAATTATCTTCTAGGGTTTTTATAGTTTTAGGTTTTAGATTTAAGTTTTTAATATATTTTGAGTTGATTTTTGTACATAGTGTAATGTAGGGGTCCAGTTTCAATCTTCTGCATATAACTAGCTGGTGATCTCAGCACCATTTACTGAATGGGGAGTCCTTTTCCCATTGCTTGTTATTGTCAACTTTGCCAAATATCAGATGGTTGTAGGCACGTGGCATTATTTCTGGGCTCTTTCTATTCTGTTCATTGATGTATGCATCTCTTTTTGTACAAGAACCATGCTGTTTTGCTTACTGTAGCCCATAGTTTGGAGTCAGGTAACATGATGCCTCCAGCTTTCTTATTTTTGCTTAGGATTGCTTTGGCTATTAGAGCTCTTTTGTGATCCCATATGATAGTCTTTTCTAATTCTGTGAAGAATGTCATTGGTAGTTTGATAGGAATGGCACTGAATCTGTAAATTGCTTTGGGCAATATGGCCATTTCAACAATAATGATTCTTCCTATCCATGAACATGGAAAGTTTTTCCCTTTGTTTGTGTCATCTCTTATTTCTTTGAGCAGTGTTTTGTAATTCTCGTAGAGATTTTTTGCCTTCCTGGTTAACTATATTCCTAGGTATTTTATTCTTTTTGCACTATCGTGAAATGGATTGTGTTCTTGATTTGGCTCTCAGCTTGGATGCTGTTGTTATATAGGAATGTTATTGATTTTTGTATGTTGATTTTGTATCCTAAAACTTTGCTGAAGCTGTTTATCATATCAAGGAACTTTTGGGCAAAGACTATGGGGTTTTCTAGATAGAGGATCATGACATCTGCAAATAGGAATTGTTTGACTTCCTCTCTTCCTATTTGAATGCTTTTATTTCTTTATCTTGCCTGTATATCTTTGATTTTTTTTAATTAGAGTTTTGTAGTATAACTTGTAAAAAGTTTTGTTAGCTGTATACTTAAGAATTTCATTGTTTTGGTGCTAATATAAGTGTTCCTTTTAATTTCAGAAACACAGAGGTATATAGGAAAGCAATAGACTTTTCTATATTAATCTTGTATTCTACATCTTTGCTATAATCACTTATTAGTTCCAGGAGTTTTATGTTGATTCATTAAAATTTTCTACATAGACAACTATGTCATCTGTGAACAAAGACAGTTATATATCTTCTTTCCAAATCTGTATACTTTTTATTTTCCTTTCTTATCTAATTGCACCAGCTAGAACTCCTAATATGTTGAATAGAAGTGGTGAGAGGGGACATCCTTGCCTTCTTCCTAATGTTAGTGGGAAAGCTTCAAGTTTGTCACCATCAAGTGTGATGTTAGCTGTATGTTTGTTGTAGATTCTCTTTATCAAGTTGAGGAAACTCCCCCCATTCCTAGTTTGCTGAATCTGTATCATAAATGGATATTGGATTTTGTCAAGTGCTTTTTTTACATCTATGCATATGATCACATGATTTTTTTCTTTAATCTGTTGATATGATAAATTACATTAATTGATTTTTGAATGTTAAACCAATATTACATACCTGGAATAAATTCCACTTGCAGGTGGTGTATAGTTCTGTGCACTGTCGGATTTGATTTGCTAATATTTTGTTGAGGAGCTTTACATCCATATTCATGAGAAATATTGGTTTGTAGTTTTCTTTTCTTGTAAGGAAAGTCTTTGTCTGCATTTGGTATTAGGGTGATGCTGACCTCAGAGAATAAGTTAGGAAGCCATTCCTTGGCATCTGTTTTTTGAAACAGATTGTAAAGAATTTTTATTGTTTTTTCCTTAAATGTTTTGTAGAATTCACCAATGAAATCATCTGGGTCTGGTACTCTCTGTTTTAGAAGATTATTAAGTATTCACTCAATTTCTTTTTCAGTTTTAGAAGATTATTGAGTATTCACTCAATTTCTTTTTCAGTATAGACCTATTAAATTAACTATTTCTCTTTGTGTGAGTTTTAGTAGATTGTGTCTTTTGGGTAATTGGGTTTTTTTCCCCTAAGTTATCAAATATGTAGTGACAAAGTTGTTCGTAATATTTCTTTATTTCCCTTTAAATATCCACGGATTAGTAGTGATGGTGGGCTTTCTTTTATTTCTGATATTAGTGATTTGTGTCTTCTCTCCTTCTCTCTCTCTCAGTTAACCTGGCTATCCAAGATCAATAAAATTGATCTTTTCAAGCAAGTTTTTTTATTTCTTTTTTTGGTTTTTATTTATTTTACATTTCATTAATGTTTGCTCAAATTTTTTTGATTATTTATTTTCTTCTGCTTAGTTTGGATTTAATTTGTTCTTCTTTTTCTTTCCCAACATTAAAGCTTAGATGTTTAATTTTGAGATCTTTCTAATTTTCTAATATTTGCAGTCAATGTTAGAAACTAAACTTGTTATTGGACCCCTCTAATAAATTTTTATTTCAGTTATTGGACTTTTCAACTTCAGTATTTCTATTTGGTGTCTTTATATGATTTCTATGTCTTTATTGATAATCTCTATGTGGTGAAACACTGTTTTCCTGGTTTCCTTTAGTTATTTGTATGTGGTTTCTTTTTGTTTTTTGAATATATTTTAAATAGTTGATGTACTGCCTTTGTCTAATAAGCCCAATATCCAGGTATCATCAGTGCAGGTTTCTATTCATTTTTTTAATGTATATAGGCCATACTTTCTTGTTTCTTTGCAATGCCTTGTAATACTTTGTTGAACATCAGACATTTTGAATATTATAATATGGAAGTTTTGGAACTCTGATTTTCCCCTATCTCCAGTGTTGCTGCTTGTTGTATTTGTTTTTTCCTTCTTTAGTAACTTTTCTGAACTAGTTTTGTAAAGTCTATATTCTTTGTCATGTATAGCCACTGAAGTCTCAGTTCCTGTTAGCTTAATAGTCAGCTAGTAATTAAGCAGAGATTTCCTTAAACACCTGGGAGGAAAATCTCCCAGTCTAAAGATGCGCTCTGTTTGTGTTTTGTGTTTGTGCCTCCACCAGGCAGTTTACAACTCTGCCTTAGCCTTCACTTCCTGCTTACACAGAGTCAGAAAGTCAGCCAGAGGTTAAATCTTAGGGCTTTCTCAGGTCTCTTTTAGGCATGCAGTCAACCATCCTGGGAGTGTGCATAGACTTCTTGACTCCCAGGAGCTTTTCAAAGACTTTATTCCCCCAAAGCATTTCATTCCTCAGCCTTTCCTCCCAAGCTTATTGATTGGTCTATTGTTTCTCCTAATTGCTATCCTTTGAGTGAGATGGAGTGATTTTAACATTTGCCTTTAAAAGTTTCTGATAGAATGTTGAAAACCCTGGTATGTTCTGAATTAGGAGAAATAAAGGCAAACCCATTGATCCCTTCCTTTTGGGAGCCAACATACAGGTCAAAACAAAAAAAAAAATGCAATTATTTAAAGATAAGTTCTGCTGTGCTCCCTCCAGTACTAAATACCTGTACTGTGAATGCCAGCTGTTGTCTCAAGGACACCATCAAGCCAGGAATGGAACCAGGATAAGTTAAAATGCCATGAATTTCTTTTACTGAGATTCAGCTGGTTTTTCTTAATTAAACATTAGGCTTTGGATTAGTTTCTAGAATTCCTAAAAAGTTGATTTTGGCAGTTTTTGCAGTTAGTTTATTGCTTTTGTGGAGGGACAAATTTTGATGTTCTCTACTGTGCCACTTTTGCTTCTCTACCCTTTCACTTTTAACCTGTTTATGTCTTTATATTTAAGTGGATTTCTTGCAGTCAATATACAGTTTGGTCTCATTTTTAATCCAATATGACAGTCTTTGTCCTTTAATTTGTGTATCTGGACCATTTAGATTTAAAGTTATTATTGATATAGTTGAATAATGCTAACATATTTGCAGCTTTTTTCTATTCATTTCACTTGCTTTTTGTTTCTTTTTTTCACTTGTTCTTTTAGTGCTTTCTGTGGTTTTAACTTAGCATATTATAATATTTCATTTTCTCTCCTCTCTTAGCATATCAATGTGGGGAAAATTGATATTGAGTTCTCAAATAATAGTAGGAATAAAAGACTAATGTAGAACCTTAAATAAACAATGGGAAAATTAAAATAAAGAATATGTTTAAAGAGCAATCATGTAAAATAAATAAAACCAAGTCAAGATGGAAAGAATAAAATCAAGATTAAAGTCACCATACCAAAAAAAAAACCAAAATTGACTAAATTCCTGTGCCATAAATACATACAATTTTTATTTTTCAATTTTAAAAAGTTTTTTTAAGAGACAATTTAAAAAATAAATGCTAACCCAAACCTTGCCCATCTCCTATCAAAGAAGCCTGCAACACTGCGGTGCTTCACCCTCAGAAGGGGCACACTGGCGTGTTGAAATGAGATGAAGTATTCCACATTTTTAACCTCCCCAAAAATACAGAGCCTGCCATAGTGAGTTAAAAAATAAAACATAGTTTGTTTTTGGAAGAGTTTAAACACTCATCAAAGTGGTAAGAAAACATTGCAAATAAAGAGGCAGATAAAGAGATAATAAACAAATACAAGTAAAAAGGAAAATACAAGTAAAAAGGAAACAATGTCAGTAGCAACCAAACCATTGATTAAAAGCACTAAAACAGATAAATATAAATGCATTTTCCCTAACTCCCAACTGGTTAAAAATGTATATTTTGTAAATATACAAAGCATAACTTGTAAAGAAGATACAACAGAAGTTAACCTATATGCACCAAATATAGCTGTTTAGTACATAAAAATAATTTATTAGAAATGCCAGGAAGCTGTGTCCATTTTTTATCCAATAGAATTTTCCTTTCTTACTCATGAGAGGTGCCTGATTCTGCTGCAGGCTACAATGTGCCCAATTAACAGACCACATTTCTCAGGCTTTTTTTTTTTTTCTGCCACAATGATCATGCAACTAGGACCAGGCTAGTAAAATGTAAGCAGATGTGTTTTTTGGAACTTCTGAAAAGGTCTCTTTGAGATCACTATTTCAGAAATGTGCCTTTTGCCTGCCTTCATTCTTCCTTCTTCAATAGGACACAATGGTTCCAGCAGCTGTCTTAAGAAATGCAGGTGAACCCATGCTAAGAATGGTGGTGCAAACAGATACAAGAAGCCTGGTTCTTGTAACTTAGTGGTGCTACCACATCAGCCTGTGGTGTCCCATCTCTAAGCATTTTTTAATGTAAGGTACTAAATATTCTGTATTTAAAATATTTTCAAGCCTCGGCAACATAGTGAGATCCAGTCTCTACTAAAAAATTAAGAATTTGTGAAAGTTAGCTGGGCATGGTGGCCCATGCCTGTAGTCCCAACTACTCAGGGGGCTGAGGTGGGAGGAGTACTTGAGCCTGGGAGTTCAAGGCTGAAATGAGCTGAGATCACACTACTGCACTCCAGCCTTGGCAAGAGAGAAATATCCTGTCTCCAAGATCTATATATGTATATCCAATCTAGTTTCTTTCTATTGTATGAGCCAAACTTAATCCTCACTAATACAAATTGGTAAACATACAAGAAGAGTAAAAGACTTCAACGTATTTCTGCAATAACAGGACAGATGTCATAGTCAAAAAAGTAAGTGAGAATTTTGTGCATCAAGAAACATTATCAAGAAAGAAAAAAGGGGCCGGGCGTGGTGGCTCATGCCTGTAGTTCCAGCACTTTGGAAGGCCGAGGTGGGAGCATCACGAGGTCAGGAGATCGAGACCATCCTGGCTAACATGGTGAAATGCCATCTCTACTAAAAATACAAAAAATTAGCTGGATGTGGTGGCGGGCGCCTGTGGTCCCAGCTACTCAGGAGGCTGAGACAGGAGAATGGTGCAAACCCGGGAGGTGGAGCTTGCAGGGAGCAGAGATCATGCCACTACACTCCAGCCTGCGTAGCAGAGTGAGACTCCATCTCAAAAAAAAAAAAAAAAAAAAAAAGAAAGAAAGAAAAAAGGAAGCCTATAAAATGGGAAAATATATTTGTAAATTATATATCTAATAAGGGTCTAATATTCAGAATATATAAAGCACTCTTATAAGTCAACAATGAGCATGCAAACAACCAACTTTTTTTTTAAATGGGCAAATGAGTTGAGTAGATATTTCCCAAAAGTAGATATGCAAATGACCAACAAGCACATGAAAATATGCTCTACATCATTAGTCATTAGTGAAATGCCAGTGAAAGCCACAGTGAAATACTACTTTATAAATAGTAGGATGGCTATTACCTTGAAAACAAAGCACACACACAGAAAGTAACAAGTGTTGATGATGTGGAGAAATTGCAACCCTTATGCATTGCTGGCAGAAATGTAAAATGGTTCAATCACCATGGTAACAGTTTGGTAGTTCTTCAAAAAGTTAAAATGGGAACTATCATATAACCCATCAAATCCACCCTTAGGTACATACCCAAGACAATTGAAAACAGAAACTTGAACAAATACATAGACACAAGTGTTTGTAGCAGCACTATACACAATAGCCAAAAGGTGGAAACAATCCAGAGTTCTCTCAGTAGATGAATGGACAAATAAGTTGTGGTATAGCCATACAATGGAATATTATTTGGCCTAAAAATGATTGAAATACTGGTACATGCTACATGGTGGATAAGAAGCAAAAACATTATGCTAGGTGAAAGAAGCCAGACACAAAATGTCACATGGTATGATTCCATTTATAGGTTGTATATTAGTCCATTCTCACACTGCTATAAGGACATATTCAAGACTGAGTAATTTATAAAGAAAAGAGGTTTGATCAACTCACAGTTCCACAGGGCTTGGAAAGCCTCAGGAAACTTACAATCATGGCAGAAGGGGAAGCAAACATGTTCTTCACTGAGTGGCAGCAGAGAGAAATGCAGAATGAAGAGGATAGGAAAGTCCCTTATAAAACCATCAGATCTCATGACAGCTAACGCACTATCATGAGAACAAGATGGGAGAAACTGCCCAGTGATTCAGTTGTCTTCATTTGGCTCCTCCCATGACACATGGGGATTATGGGAACTACAATTCAAGATGAGATTTGGGTAGGGACACAGAGCCAAACCATATAATTCCACTCCGGCCTCTCCCAAATCTCATGTCCTCACAATTCAAAACAATCATGCCCTTCCAACAGTTCCCTAAAGTCTTAACTAATTCCAGCATTAACCCAAAAGTCCAAGTTCAAAGTCTTATCTGAGACGTGGCAAGTCCCTTCCACCTATGAACCTGCAGAATCAAAAGCAAGTTAGTTACTTCCTAGATAGAATGGGGGTATGGGCATTGGGTAAATAAGCCCATTCCAAATGGGAGGAATTGGCCAAAACTAAGGGGATGCAGGCTCCATGCAAGTCCAAAATCCAATAAGACAGTCACTAAACCTTAAAGTTTCAAAATGATCTTCTTTGACTCTATGTCTTACATCCAAGTTGTGCTGATGCAAGAGGTGGGCTTCCATGGCCTTGAGCAGCTCTGCCCCTGTGTCTTTGTGGGGTACAGCTCCCCTCTTGGCTGCTTTCATGGGCTGGCATTGAGTGTCTGTGGCTTTTCCAGGTGCACAATGCAAGCTGTGAGTGGATCTACCATTCTGGGGTCTGGACGATGGTGGCCCCATTTTCACAGCTCCACCAGGCAGTGCCCCAGTGGGGACTCTGTGTGGGGGCTCTGACCCCCCATTTCCCTTCCACAATCCCCTAGCAGAGGTTCTCCATGAGGCCTATACCCCTGCAGCAAACTTCTGCCTGGGCATCCAGGCATTTCCATATATGCTCTGAAATCTTCATAGAGGTTCTTAAACCTCAATCTTTGACTTCTGTGCACCCACAGATTCAATATCACATGTAAACTGCAAAGGCTTAAGCTTGCACCCTCTGAAGCCACAGCCTGAGCTGTACATTGGTCCCTTTTAGCCATGGCTAGAGCAGCTGGGATGCAGGGCACCAACTCCCAAGGCTGCACACAGCAAGTGGCCTTGGACCTGGCCCAGGAAACCATTTTTCCCTCTTAGGCCTCCAGGCCTGTGATGGGAAGGGCTGCCATGAAGGTCTCTGACATGCCCTGGAGACATTTTTCCCATTGTCTTGGTGATTAGCATTTGGCTTCTCATTATGCAAATTTTTGCTGCCAGATTGAATTTCTCCCCGGAAAATTGGTTTTTCTTTTCTACTGCATCATCAGGCTGCAAATTTTTAAAACTTTTATGTTCTGCTTCCTCTTGAACACTTTGCCACTTAGAAAGTTCTTCTGCCAGATACCCTAAATTATCTCTCTCAAGTTCAAAGTTCCATAGATCTCTAGGTCAGGGCAAAATGCCACCCATCTCTTTGCATATCAAGAGTGACTGGATTAGTCCATTTTCATACTGCTATGAAGAAATACCCAAGACTGGGTAATTTACAAAAAAAAGGTTTAATTGACTCACAGTTCCACATGGCTGGGGAGGCCTCACAATTATAGCAGAAGGCAAAGGAGGATCAAAGTCACATCTTACATGGAGTCAGGCAACAGAGTATGTGCAGGGAAACTGCCCTTTCTAAAACCATCAGATCTTGTGAGACTTATTTACTACCATGAGAACAGCATAGGAAAATCCCACCCTCATGATTCAATTAGCTTCCACTGTGTCCCTCCTACAACACATGAGGATTATGGAAGCTAAAATTCAAAATGAGATTTGGGTGGGGGCATAGCCAAACCATATCAGCGACTTTTACTCCAGTACCCAACAAGTTCCTCATCTCCATCTGAGACCACCTCAGCCTGGACTTTATTGTTCATATCACTATCAACATTTTGGTTAAAGCCATTCAACAAGTCTCTAAGAAGTTCCAAACTTTCCCACACGTTCCTGTCTTCTGAGCCCTCTAAGTCTATAGGAAGTTCGAAAGTTTCCCACATTTTTCTGGTCTTCTACTGAGTCCTCCAAACTGTTCCAACCTCTGCCTGTTACCCAGTTCCAAAATTGCTTCCATATTTTCAGATATCTTTACAGCATTACCCCATTACCTGGTACCAATTTACTGTATTAGCCCATTCTCATGCTGCTAGGAGGACATACCTGAGACTAGGTAATTTATAAAGGAAAGAGGTTTAAGTGACTCACAGTTCTGCAGGGCTGGGAAGGCCTCAGGAAACTTACAATCATAATGGAACGGGAAGCAAAAATGTCCTTCACATGATGGCAGCAAGGAGAAATGTAGAGCAGAGGTCAGGAAAAGACCCCTTATAAAACCGTCAGCTCTCACGAGAACTAATTCACTAGGATAAGAACAGGATGAGGGAAACCTCCCCCATGATTCAAGTATTTTCACCTGGTCCCTCCCAGGACATGTGGGTATTATGGGAACGACAATTCAAGATGAGATATGGGTGGGGACACAGCCAAACCATATCAGGTAGAATATTCAAATCTATAGAGACAGAAAGCAAATGGGTTTTGGCCAGGTGCTGGGAGTGTGGAGCAGCTGAGAAGTGACTGCTCACAGGTACATGGTTTTATTAGGGATGATGAAAATGTTTTGAAACTTGTACTAAACATACTAAATGCCATTGAATTGTACACTGTATAAAATGTTGAATTTTATGCTATATGAATTTCATCTCAATTTTTTAAATAAAAAGAGGAATCAAATGTGATTATACATACATATGTGTGTGTTGCATCCTTGTGTGTCTATTTATATAGATAAATAATCTTACATCTCTAGAAGGGAGAATGTACTTTTTCTATATCCCTTAAACATTTAAAGGAATTTACCATGAAATCCTTGTGTCCAAAAATAAAAAGAAATTTTGTTGATCAGGATTCAATAATATTAGAAACAGCTAATAAAAATAGGACCAAAAGTTATATATATATATATATGTTAAAAAACGTGCTCCCAGCTGAACTTGAATCATGGGGGTGGTCAGAATAAAGAGTGCAGACTAAAAGAAAAGCAACCCAAAGGGGAGCACTTCATAACAACATCAGAAAATGAAGGAAGTAAGGAAGGACTCAGCTGTAAACTCCAGAAAACAGAAGAAATAAGGAAGAGAGAATTGGTAAAAATAAAAGATGAGGCCAGGCATGGTGGCTCATGCCTGTGATCCTAGCACTTTTGGAGGCCAAGGTGGGAGAATCACTTGAGGCCAGGAGTTTGAGAACACCTGGGTAACATCGTGAGACCTTATCGCTACAAAAAAATTTAATTTAAAGATAAAATTATTAAAACATAAAATAGAAATAAAAATAAGAGAAGATAGTCACAGGAGAGAGAAAAATAATTATAGGTGAAAGCTAAATATACACCCATGGCACAAATTTCAAAATCTAGATGAAATGAATGATTTCCTAGAAAAAAATAAATTATAAAACTTCATACAAATGAAGTGGAAATGTTGAATAGAAAACCACCATAGAAGAGACTGAGAATGTGATAGGAAATCTCCCCTTGAATAAGGCACCAGAGCCAGGTAGGATCAATAAACAAATCATTCTGGTGCTATTTAAACTATGTCAACCTACATAAAAAGGGAAAATTTTCCTATTCATTATAACAAGTCAGCAGCTCTAACACCCAAATTGTATAAAAGAAATATAAGAAATCTATACACCAATTTTACTTCTGAATATAGATGTAAAAATTCTAAATAAAACATTAGTGAAACAAATCAGTAATGTTTCAAAAAATGGTACACTATCAAGCAGGGTTTATTCCAACAATGAAAAAGTGGCTTAATATCAGGAAAACCTAAGAAATAAAAGCATTATTTTATTAGCACAAGCTGAAAATGCAGTTAACCAAATTTATCAGTTGTTCTTAATAAAAACTCCAGGAACCAAGGAAAACTACTTAATAAAGATGGTCCACCAAAATTAACAGCAAGTATTATTTTGAACTACAAAACACTAACATCATTTTAATTAAACCATTAACTACAGAGGGATACTCATTCTCACCATTATTCAACATTGTCTTGGAAGTTGTAGTGAATGCAATGAAATAAGAACATGGAATAATTTCTATAAGCATTGTGATATGGTTTGGCTCTGTCCCCACCCAAATCTCATCTTGAATTATAGCTCTCATAATTCCCACGTGTTGTGGGAGGGACCCAGAGGGAGATAATGGAATCATGGGGTGGTTTCCCCCATTCTGTTCTCATGGTAGTGAATAAGTCTCATGAGAGCTGATGGTTTTATAAGGGGAAACCCCTTTCACTGGGTTCTCATTCTTCTCTTGTCTGTCGCCATGTGAGATATGCCTTTCACCATCTGCCATGATTGTGAGACCTCCCCAGCCATGTGGAACTGTGAGTCCATTAAACCTATTTCTTTTGTAAATTTCCCAGTCTTGGGTATGTCTTTATCAGCAGCATGAAAATGGACTAATAAATATTGGAGGCAGAGATAAAATAACCTCTGCTCAGAATGATACAATTATATATAGAAAACCAATAACCTATTAAGGAGGCAACACCGTAGAGACAGAGAGCAAATCAGTGCTTGTCTAGACTGGAGTTGGGAATGAGGAAATGCAAACTGGATTGGAGTGATGTTTGTGTAACTCTGTAAATTTACTGAAAGTTATAAGTTGTACATTTTAAATGAGTACATTTTTTAGTAGGTAAATTATGCCTCAATAAACTTGTTATAAAAATCTTCTGGGTGGAATAAGAACATTTAAGATGGATGAATGTGATATTAAATAAAACTACTCTTTTTCTTAAAAAGTTTCAAAAATTTAGGAATGTACTTATAAGAAAAGTATAGAAACTATAAAGAAAATTAATAAACCTTATTGAAAGGCATAAAGCAAGAACCGAACTAATAGAAAACAACCATAATCTTGAATGGGAAAACTGAATAGCATCAAAATGCCAATTGTTCTAAAATTAATATTAAAAATCAGTGCAATTCTAGCAAGAATCCCAACAACATTTTTCTCTCCATTGGTTAAGATGATCTTAAAGTTTATGGGGAAAAACAGATACCAAGGATGGCAAATGAAAGTTATAAAATAGATCAATAACAATGAGAAGATTTGCCTAACTAGGAACAAAGGCATAGGGTAAAACCGTAGTCATTGAGACAATATGGCCTTAATGTAGGAAGAGACAAATGGGTCAATGAAACAGCAAGTAAGATCCTAATATACATACATATATATGTGTATGTGTGTATACACAGACGTAGAATTTTCACATATGACAGAGATCGTTGTTCAATTTTGTGGGAAAATGGGAAATTGTTTAATGAACGGTACTGGCACAACCAGCTGTCCATTTGCAAAACAATTACATTGGACTCTCATCTTATACCATATACAAAATTAAATTCCAAATATACTAATGACTTAAACTTAAGAAGCAAAATAATGGAAATACTGCAAGAAAAAATCTATAAGATTACATGACCACCCTAGAGGGCAAGAAAGAACTTATTAATTAATACTGGAAACCAAGAGGTTAATTTTTTTTTAAAAGAAAAATACCAGAATGAAAGAGTTCCCTGACCCACTTGCAGGATGTACAACAGGGGTGTGGCTCATCTGTTCAGCCGCTGCCACTACTCAGACCCCTTACAGGAGGGGGAGCATGCAGATGGGCAGGTGCAGGAGCCAGGGTGAGTGCTTTTGGGCTTAAGACCCACAGTGGCATCTAGGGATGTTTGCCTAGACATGTGGAGTGACTCTCAAAGCCCCAGTGGGCATGGTACAGTGCTCTTTTAGCCCTACTGTCTGCAGACAGCTTAAGTGTTAACCAGCTCAGTGCCTTCTTGGTACCCAGGTCCTTGTCCAGCATCTAGGAAGAATCAGGTCACACATGGACTTGAAGGATGGTGAATGTGGGGATTTTACTGGGTGATGGAGGTGGCTCTCAGTGGGATGGATAGGAAGCTGGAGAGGGGATGAAGTGGGAAGATGATCTTCCCCTGGAGTTTGGCCGTCCAGTGGCTGATCTTCTCTCTGACAGTCCCCAGCTGAACTCTAGATGTTCAGATGCTCCTTCTCTTCTCTCCTTCTCTGCCTCACTGTTCTGCCACTTTTCTGCTCTTCTTTTCATCTGCTCTTGGAGTCCAGAGTTTAGGGTTTATATGGATACCAGATAGGGGGACATGGCAGGCCAAAAGGCAACTTTTGGGCATGAAAACAGGGCTGCCTGTTCCCATTTAGGGCCTCGGGTTTCTAGGCTTGAGGGTAGGGCCTTTGCTGGGGAGCCGCCCTCTTCTACCCAGTATTTCCCTGTCGCCTGTCCATATCACCTCCCCCCCTCTCAAGAGGCATATCTAACTGCCCTTAGAATATGGACGACGACCAGTCTTAGCTACTTCCTGCTGACAAGGGGCATTGTTTGGAGAAAATGACAGTCTGAGTCCTTCCAGAGGTCTATGTAAGGGTCCCCAGCAAAAGGAAGCCATTGTCCGAGGCTTCGGTTGCCTGACCATTTGGAGTTTTGATTGCCTTTAGGTGAGAGAGGATAAAAACAAGTTTCATAAGGTTAAGTATACATGGGTTAAACATGTGTGTTATACAAGGAGAAAATCTAGTGCCAAAGATTACAGAAATAAGAAGTGAAATATACTAACAACATTGTACCCCAATCTGTCTCACCCTGGTGAAAGAAATTAAACCTTGTAAGGGAGCAGTTAAACTTTATGAGAGAGCTAACTGTTCTCACCACGTCTGTAGCAGTTAACAGGTGCACCTTGGGAATTATGGGGTTTGTGGGCTTGCATGGTGTCCATTAAAGCTTCTGTCTCTTTCCTGTGTCTCCCTACCTCCATTGTAAAAAACCGAGGTGGCAACTTTCAGGAGGTCCTCTAAAGTACTATCTGGTCCCAGGGCCAGTTTCTGCAACTTCCTCCTAATATCAGGGGCTGCTTGAGTAATAAGTGTCTCCTTTGGGATTAGTTGTCCCTCGATGGAATCAGGAGATAGAGAGGTATGCCTTAACTAAGGCCCTATTAGCTTCTCCAAGAAGGCAGTGGGATTTTCATTAAATCCATGGTCTATCATGGATAGTTTGCTATAATTGAAAGGCTTGGTCCTAGTCCTATGTAAGCCCTCCATTATGCACACCTGAAAGTATCTCCTCTTCCAGCCTCCATCTCATCACTGGGAGCCCAACCAGGGTCAGTCACTGGTGCTGCTTCTCTTCCAGTTGGATAAATGTCGTCCCCTTCGCTGAGCTATATGTGATACAAAGCTCATCCCCAAATCTCTCTGCGGCTTGCAGAGCAGCCTGCTTCTCAGTGTCCATCAGGATCTGATTCTAAAGTAACACATGTCTCTCCAGGAGAGTTCAAATATTTGGGTGAAATTGTGGAAAGCCTCTATATATCTGTCAGGGTTATCTGAAAACTTGCCAAGATCCTCCTTAATTGACTTAAGTTCTGTAGAGAGAAGGGGACTTGGACCTTACTGGGGCCAAATTCACCAGGCATCTGTTGGAGGGGCAAGAGTGAGACTGGGGCTTGTCTGGGGTGAGGATTTCTAGGACTGGGTAAGTGAGAGACTGAAGCTGGATAGGGAGATCAGGGTGGACCCAGAGGAGCAGGGTTGGAGGGAGCTGGCTCCTCTGCTGGGGGTGCCTCTGGGATTCGTTTCTTTAGTTACCTGGGATTGTTTCTTGCAGCCTCTCCTGAGATGGCAAACAGGAGGTCTGGATCAATCCTACAGTGTCGGCAAATGTCTGGATTACCCTGCAAGGTAAAGAAAGCCTGCACATATGGGGCCTCAGACCATCTGTCCTCATATCTACAGAAAAGATCCAGCTGCTGGATGGTATTGAAATGAATTGTTCCTTCCTGAAGCCAAGCCATCCTTCACAATTTGGCCAAACCTTTGTGCAGAGGGCTATGAGGCATTTTTCTTCCAGACTCTGAGGGTCAAAGCAGTCCCAGTGGTTGAGGATGCACTCCAGAGGAGTATAAGCTGGGGGTGGTAAAAAGAGCTGGTTGCCTATTCTGAAAGACAGGGAAATAGAGGCATCCCTCATTTCCCTTTTTTCTTCCAATGAAAACTTAGGATGTGATGGAGAGAAAGCAGGGCATCCCCGCTTTCCCTTCTGTCTTCTTATCCCTGAGTTCTGGCAACCTTAGACAGATGCCACCCATGGATGCTATTGTGGCCTGCACCTGTGAAGCAGGGAGGGCCTAGAGAACAGGAATTATCCATCCTCATCTACGTCTCTATCCCCGCTACTGTCAGCAACCTTTGGGTTCCTTGGGTCGCATCTATGCCCTGGACCATGGCCTCCTTCCATGAAGCAGGGCTTTAGTCAACAGGAATTTGCCCCTGCCCATTTACATTGTGCCTGTTGCCTGGCTTTGGATCCCTCAGATCTGGTTTTCCTTTCTAGGGCCTCAGCCTGAAGCTTGGAACTGAGTTTGAGACCAAAAAAAAAAAAAAAAAAAAAGAAGAAGAAGAAGAAAGTATTTCAGGGGCCTGCGTGTATCTGTTTAGATTGTCTCAAAAGGGCCTTGCCAGATTTGCAGTTATCAGCCAGCAGGGGTCGCTTCCTCGTTGTTTTTCCTAGCATAAGCAGAGGGCTAGGGCTGGAAAAGAATCCTTTTGCCAGAAAAGGAGGAAAAAAAAAAGCTTAAGGGGCAAAAGATGGGGGGTGGGGGGGGTCCTGGGGGAAGAACCTCTTGCTTTGTGAAAATGGATTCCTTTAATTATTGTGTCTTTCCCCCAGTTCAGACCAGTGAGGATCCTTCAGCCACTGGGGGAAAGGCTCTGCTGACACAGCAACAGCGAGCAGGGGGCGCCAGCCAGCCAGCTGGCCGTGCAGTGTTCCAGCGGCAGGCGTAGTTTTCTCCCACCTCTCATGGACATTGAGTGCACCTTGTGTATGCTATGGACATGCCCAGCCGCTGGAGATGGGAGGGGAGGGGGTAAGAAGGGAAGCCACTGTGCCGTGACCCTGAGGCCATTGAGGTGGGGTTTGGTGTCTCACCAAACGGAAGCCACATTGTTCTGAATTGCACCTCTGATGGCTAGGCCAAATGCTCATTCTGTTTAACATCATTGCTGCAGTCTGTAGCAAAACCCTTAACGTTACAAAGGAAGAGATAGAGCCACTTCAAACCGTGAAAGGAGAAGAGATACCACAGTTAAGTCCGCCTGTCTTGGCCAACGGAGTTCAGTCTTTGGGCTTTCCAGCAACAAAAGATGCCTTCAGTTGCCCCAGGGTTTTACTCCAGTCCCCGGCAACAGCTAGATCTCCATGAAGGGAAACAGCCAATATTTTTTTTACTTGCAGGAAAGGGAGGCATGACAGCTCCACATCTGTGTTCACCCTTGTGGATCCCAGGTGAGACTCCAGATGAAATGGGAGAGTTCTCTGACCCCCTCACAGGACATGTGACAGGAGTGTGGCTAGTCTGTTCAGCCTCCACCACTGCTGAAACACCTTATGGGAGGGGGAGCATGCAGATGGGCAAGCGCAGGTGCCAGGGCCAGCGCTTTTGGGCTTCAACCCCATGGTGGCATCTAGGGGTGTGTGTCTGTGACTCCTGAAGCCCCAGTGTGTGTGCTCCAGTGCTCTTTTAGCTCTGCTGTCTGTCAGGCCTCTGAGCCCAAGCTAAGCCATCAGATCCCCTGTGACCTGCACGTATACATCCAGACGGCCTGAAGCAACTGAAGAACCACAAAAGAAGTGAAAATAGCCAGTTCCTGCCTTAACTGATGACAATCCACCATTGTGATTTGTTCCTGCCCCACCCTAACTGATCAATTGGCCTTGTGACATTCCTTCTCCTGGGCAACGAGTCTCATGATCTCCCCACCCTGCACCTTGTGAGCCCCGTCCCTGCCCACAAGAGATAACCACCTTTAACTGTAATTTTCCACTACCTACCCAAATCATATAAAACTGTCCCACCCCTATCTCCCTTTGCTGACTTCTTTTTCAGACTCAGTCTGCCTGCACCCAGGTGATTAAAAAGTTTTATTGCTCACACAAAGCCTGTTTGGTGGTCTCTTCACATGGACTCTTGTAACATTTGGTGCTGAAAAACCTGGGACAGGGGATCTCCCTCGGGAGATCAATCCCCTGTCCTTGCCCTCTCTCCGTGAGGAGATCCACCTATGACGTCGGATCCTCAGACCAGCCCAAGGAACATCTCACCAATTTTAAATCAGGTAAGTGGCCTCTTTTTATTCTCTTCTCCAAGCTTTCTTGCTATCCCTCCACCCTTCAATCTCTCCCTTCCTTAATTTCAGTTCCTTTCCCTTTCTGGTAGAGACAGAGGAGACACATTTTATCCGTGAACTCAAAACTCCAGTGCCAGTCATGGACTCGGGAAGACAGTCTTCCCTTGGTGTCTAATCACTGCGGGGATGCCTGCCTGATTATTCACCCATATTTCAGAGGTGTCTGATCACCACGGGGATGCCTGCCATGATCCTTCACCTTGGCGGCAAGTACCACCTCCCCTGGGTGGCAAGTACCACCCCCCCGCCCAACCCCGTGTCTCTACCCTCTCTTTTCTCTAAACTTACCTTTTTACTATGGGCAACCTTCCACCCTCCATTCCTCCTTCTCCTCCTTTAGCCTGTGTTCTAAAAAACTTAAAACCTCTTCAACTCTCACCTGACCTAAAACCTAAGTGTCTTATTTTCTTCTGCAACACTGCTTGGCCCCAATACAAACTTGATAATGGCTCTAAATGGCCAGAAAACAGCATTTTCGATTTCTCCATCCTACAAAACCTAGATAATTTTTGTCAAAAAATGGGCAAACGGTATGAGGGGCCTTACATCCGGGCATTTTTCACACTTTGTTCCCTCCCTAATCTCTGTTCCCAGTGCGACTCATCCCAAATCTTCCTTCTTTCCCTCCCACCTGTCCCTTCACTCTCAACCCCAAGCATTGCTGAGTCTTGAATCTTCCTTTTCTACCAACCCGTTTGACTTCTTCCCTCCTCCCCAGACTGCTCCTCCTCAAGTTGCTCCCCACTTATCTGCCTCTCAGTTCTGCTACTCTTCTGCTCTTCTGTTCATCTGCTCTTGGAGCCCAGGATTTGCGGTTTATATGGGTACAAAATAGACGGGCACGGCAGTCTGAAAGGCAACTTTTGGGCCAAAAACAGGACTGCCTGTTCCAATTTAGGGCCTCGGGTTTCCAGGCTTGAGGGCGGGGCCCTTGCCAGGGAGTTGCCTTCTGCCGCCCAGTATTTCCCTGTCTCCTGCCTGTATCAATATTATAAAATATTTTTAAGATGAAAATCATTTCCTGTAGAGTGAAAAATTACATAAAGTCAGCAGATAAATGCTAGGTTTATATTACAGAAAATGAAGCCATATCTGTAAGAGATATGGTGTTTTTCACAAAGTGGTAAGTCTGAACAATCCCATAGCAGAATGCGTAAAGAATATGAAAAGAAAATTTACAGATGAGCAAATCCAAATGGCCACCAAACATACAAAAAGATGGTTAGATGTATTAGTTGACAAGAAAATGAAATGAACAAGATTTTATTTTACATTCATAAACAGTTCAATGCAAGGAGAATAATGCAATCAGACGTTGCTGGTGGAGGTGTGCTGGGTGAACATCTTTAGAAAGCAATTGAGCAATATCTGTTAAGCATCTGCCACAATCAGAGGTTGTATAGCTATGGATGTAGATATAGATAATCTTTATTGTAACATCACTCATTTGACCTAAATAAATAAATAAATAAACCAACCCAGAATTGTCTATCAGTGGAAGAATGGTTGAAAAATATACAGTATAGCCACACAATGGAAATTATACATTCTGAATTAGAGCAGGAGTGACCAGTTGCCCTGGAAGAGTTTCCACAAAGTATTGTTGAGTCAGCAGCAAGATTTTGAGAAGTATATGCAATATGATTCCATTTTTGAAAAAATGAGCAATGATAAGGAAACTGCATATATGCATATACATATATATATATGAATGGCTCTAGCTCTGTTATTATTTGAGCATTGATGAAAATATTATCATGCTCATGGAAACTTGGTTATCATGGATTCTTGAGGAACTGCAATGGATAAAGTAGGGTTGAAATGGGGGAAGGAGTGGGGGAAATCCAGAAAAAAATTAAAAATAGAGGAAGTAAAAATAATTATATATAATATGCTTGCAATTACACATGTATGAAAAATTATAAATGTGCACATATATACTCTTTCACATGGAAATGAAACCAGTTTTCAAAGAAGCATCCTGGAGGATGGAGGACGGTGTCAGCATAGGTTCAGGCTGAAGCTGCAGCTGTTCACGGTCCAGGCTCCTGTCATCACAGGCATCAAAGTGCACACGGGAAGCCTTGCACAAGCCCCTTGAGGGCCACAGTGTCAATGATCATGTCAACTCAAAATTCACCACTTATTCATTAACCTCGGGCCAGCCCAAGAAGGATGCTCAGACATGCCACATTGTCTGTGGGGGCGGCAGTGGGTGGGGTGGAAAGTCTTTTCTTTCCTCCTCCTTATTTTCTTCATTTTGTTCTTTTAAATGCAACTAGGTGAAAGAATAATCAACCTTTTAAAGAATCTTTGGCCCTCCCTTTCTCTTTCTTTATTTACCTTAGGGCAAAACAGTTTGTTGCAGAGAAACAATTAGAAATCTCCAGTAGGGATTTTGAAATTCAAACCCTCCTGTTGACGTTTGTACAATGGATAAAGAGGACAAGGTATGCACTGACATGGAAACACACACTCCACATGTTGATAAGTTTAAAAAAATCAGGTGGCATAACAGTATGTATATAGAGTAATTTGAGGATAAACGCAGACATTTTTCCTTGTCTTGCCCAAATTCCTATCTAAGGGGCTTGGGGAGTCATGCCCCACAAACAATAAAGCCTCATCCGAGGGGATTTAGTTAACCCCCTATAACACGGCTTACTTTCCAACCCGACTCTGGCATAACATCACATGACAGATAAAGAAGGAAATAAAAATATTTTAACCCCAAATATGTTTATTTGCCATATCTTGAAATTGCCCTGCAAAGTTGCCTCTTGTGGGGAAAAATCTACATTCTGTACAGAATCCCCTTTCCCTTCTCTGGGCCTTTTTCCTGATCTAGGAGACAATCAACTAAGAGTCTGACATCTTTTTAAATCTGTAAGAAACATGTACAATCTATTTTCTCTGAAGCCTGCTACTTGGAGGCCTCATCTGCATAATAAGAAACTTGTTCTCCACAATACCTTTCTATTGATTCCAGGTCTTTGGATAAACTCTTTCAACCAGTTGTCAATCAGATAATATTTGAATCTGCCTATAACCTTAAACCTCCTGCCCACTTCCAGTTGTCCCACCTTTCCACACAGAACCAATGTACATCATACATGTATAGATTGATGTCTTATATCCCCCTAAAATGTATAAAAACTAGTTGTGGCCCAACCCCCATGGGCACATGTTCTCAGGGTCTCCTGAGGGCTGCCTCATGGGCCATGGTCACTCAGATTTGGCTCAGAATAAATATATTCAAATATTTTACAGCATTTGATTCTTATTCTTTTTTACAGACAAATTCCATTTTAAATACATTTCCTAACATTTTATTATGAAAAATTTCAAACCAACAGAAAAGTTAAAAGAATACATCAAATCCCTGTATATCTGTGTATCGCCTACCTCAATAAAATTGTCAAAGTATTGTCATATTTATTCTCTATCTATCTATGCTTTACAATTTGGTTGTAAATTGCGGACATCATGGTGCTTTGCTCTTAAATACTTAAGTCTGCATCTTCTGAGAATAAAGATCAGCTCCTACAAGATACAATGTCATTGTCACATCCAATAAAATTAACAATAATTCCATATATCTACTATCCCATTCTTATTTAAATTTCTTCAGTTATCCTAAGAATGTCTTTTATAGCTTTTTCTTAAAGCAGGATCTAGTCTGTGTTCACACAAAGCATTTGGCTATTAGGCCTTTTGGTCTCTGTTAGTCTAGAATAGTTGCCTTGCTTTTCTTAAAAAAACAAAAAACAAAAAACAAGTTTTTAATGGCATTGACTTCTTTAAAAGTCCACATCAGTTTTCTTGTAAAATGTTTCACATTCTGACTTGACTGACCTTTCTTTAATGAGGTTATTTAACTTGTTCCTATATGCCCTCCCAACCTCCCCTTCTCTCGTAAACTGAAAATTAGGTGTTGGGGCTTAACTGAGTTCAGTGTAAAAGTTGCCGCACTATCAATAATGCTACTAAGTGTGGACACTCAAGATGGTGGCTAGTAGAGTTCCCCATTCAGAAAGTACAATATTCTCTTGTATATCTTGGTAAAGGATACCCAGGCAGGGCATTGGTAAATCAAGTTTAGCCTAAAGCCACTTCCTTACATATTTTAAGTTCAGCCTAAAGGTTTATCTGTACATGACAAATTATAACCTAAATGGAGGTGTAGATAGACTATAGTCCACTTTTGTGCCAATCACTGAGTTTTGGCCAACCAAAGAAGGCCAACTGTTCAGACAGTGTTCAAATAAGGCAAATGCCAAGCTATACCAGTCCCGCTGTTTCTGTACCTCATTTCCGTTTTCTATATATCATTTTCCTTTTTCTGTCCTTCAATCATCTTCTATCTCTTGGCTTCACTGGAGTCTCTGAGCCTACTTGGAAGGCTGCCTGATTCATGAATAATTCTTTGGTCAATTAAACTCTATAAAATTTAATTTGGCTAAGGTTTCCCTTTTAACAGATGATGTCAGAAGTGAGATCCAAAGTAGAGCTTTTGGTGACCTCCAGGAGCACCAAGTGGCCAAGCAAGGTTCCCGCCAGGCCCATTGTGTTCATTGTTCTCTGGCAGTGACTGGGGATCCTGGTAAGTTCTCTCCAGGATTCCAAAGCTCCATGGATTTGTGTTCTGAGCTCTTCAAGTTTCTTTGAGCTAATTTATGATCCAAACTGTGTTTGGAAGGCATGACAGAAACTGAACTGGATTCAGAATTGGATTGGATTCAATAATTAACTGGCTTGGATCTAGTTAGAGGTTTATAAGAGACCTCTAACTGGGTCAGAAAGAAACCAGTAGTAAAAGGCAATGCTGTAGGAGGTGTAAACTTTGGCTTTGGGAAATTGACAGGGATTTTTGTGTTCTACCTCCTTTGTTTCTTTCTTCTTGCATGCTTTGGGAACGAAAAATCACTGGCTAAGTTGATCAAGGGGGCCTGAGAGCCAAAGCCAATATTTGAGGTAAAAATGAGATCCTTAATTTCTGAAGAACTCAGTACCTTCTGGTTTATCGATGGGTAAGTATTAGGCCCTGGAAGCAACAAAGACTTACAGAAATTATGAAATTTTACTAAAGATAAGTTACAGTAGAATGATCCAAACGAACAACTCTGCACTTGAAGAAGTGCATTTGAAAATGAGGGCTTTCAAATTAGTCTCATCTAGGGATGCCTAGTGATATGCAGAAGTTCTAAAGAGACTTTAATATTTTAAAAGGCTTTTTATAAAAGGCAAATAAAAAGCTTAAGTGACTGATTGATAAGAAAAATTGAATCTGCTGACCTTTTAGTTTTGTCATCATCCT
The DNA here is from genome assembly GCF_000001405.40 of Homo sapiens. Lineage (NCBI taxonomy): Eukaryota > Metazoa > Chordata > Mammalia > Primates > Hominidae > Homo > Homo sapiens. Next base: position 126,253,301 of record NC_000003.12, read on the forward strand.
GCCCTAATAGCAGAAAGAAAGCTAGCCTAAAGCGTTTATAAAAGGAAAGGCTTCTTTTTCAGATCTCTCCCTGCTGAGTCCAGGCATAAAGGATGCTTTCTCTGCCCTATTCCTTAATGGAGTCCACTGTGAACCCAGTAATTTTAGCCAAGAAACAGTAGCTAAGTTAAACGGAACACCTATTTAACTAAAATACACCTTTCTGGAATATGATTGGCTAACCTGAAACCCTTTTGTAAAAGAAATGTACACCTATTAAGGAATCTCCATTTTTAAGGATGTCTGCCTATGTACATTGGAAATTTTACCACTGTTTTAAATTTACATAATAAATCGTACTTTTGTCTAAGGTGCTTTTCTGGCCATCTTGTCTTGACTGAACTTTTATGTGAGCACCATTTTTTTTCCTTGATTTGAGCAAATGATGACACAACTGGTTTGTAAAACTACTAACCCAAGCAGGACAAAAATTAATTGAATACCAAGAAAATACTTTGCCAGATTTTCATGTTAAATCAGCCAGTACTAAAATTGTTTGGATATACTATTTGAATAAACTCTATGGTCCAAGTCAAATTCCCTATGATAACCCATCAGTTATCAGTACTATGCACCTAAATAGGAGAAAAAATGGTATTTAAGAGGACATAAGTCCAGTGTTAAACGTGGACTCATGGAGAACCCAGATAGCCTCCTTGTCCTTCCTGAGTCCTTCAAACTTTCCATATTAAAAGCTCTGCATTCCATGAATCATCATGGAAGAGATAAAATGATCCAAATTAAATATATCTATATGGTGACTGTTCTAAATTGCTAAAATAGTTTATGACCAATGTTTAGTTTGTCAAATCCATATTCCTGGGAGGACAATCAAAACTTCAAGTACATTTTCACTACCTGACAGGCCATGTAAACATTTATAGAGGGATTTCATTTAATTGTCATTTTCAATGCACGTTTTCTGGTTGTATAAAAGCTTTCTCATGCAAGAGGGCTGTTGTTATAACAGCGGCTCATTATGCCTAAGTATATGTTCACAGGTAAAGAATATTTTTTATAGTCCACTGACTGAAGACAACCAACCCCTTCATAGCCTAGAGCTTGAAAGTTGGATCTTCTGAGAACATTAAAGAAAGACTGCCCTTGCCATATATACTGCAACAAAATTTGGTGACCTTGAACCTTGGGTTTGTAATCTCACAACTCAGAAAGGTCTCTCCACACTCTTGGAACTGTACACCCATTGGAAACCTTACGGTAAAGCTAACCAGGGATGTTTCTCCCCATAAGAAGACAGCATCCTTGACATGGACAGCTTTGTCCCACGATCAGGGATCAAGATTTCTCTGCTATCATGAGACTCTTATCTATCTATTTTTTCCTTCCTTATGCTTCTGTAAACAATAGAAGTGGAAAGGAGGTCTATTGTGTGCATTCATGGGGTATACTTTTATTTGCAAGGGATTTTGTGCCAGCTTTGTACATCAACAGCCTATGCCTCGATAGATGGATGACGAAGGCCCAACATAGGTGACAAATTTTAATGATACATTTGTTACCTCATAGTCAGAAACAGAACATTTGTCTACTCCTCTTAACCTACATCATGGGTTAAAGAGAACATTGCCAGGAAGTCTTCATTCTTCTAGATGGGTAACATTTGTTAGGTGCCTTTTTCCATGGTTTGAAGTAAATTAGGAAATTGTTAGAAATGTATCCCTCATGATAGGCTCTATAGCAGATTCTACTGTAAAGGCTATGGTTACACAGCAGACTTTAAATTCTCTTGTGAAAATTATGCTAAGTAATAAAACTGCTCTAGATTTCTTACCGGCCAAACAGAGAAGTATCTTTGTAGTTGCTGGCACTTCTTGTTGCCCGTGGAGGAATAAATCAGATATTATAGAGAGTCAGTTGTAGGGGATTAATGAACAGGCTGCTTGGTTAAAGCAAGCAGACTTTTTGTATAGCTCATTATTTGCTCTATTTGATTTTAGTTGGTTAGGTTCATGGGGACCCTGGCTAAGGAGCATACTCCAAACTCTTGGTGTTATCCTTCTGATGATCATAATAGTAGCCTCCCTGATGTGCTATATTCTTTCAAAAGTTTTAAATGTTTGCATGCAGCCATCTCTAGAATGTCAAATGGTCTCTCTTCAACTAGAATGACAAGAACTGAAAGAAATGTGTGACCATGAAGGCACTGTAACCTATGACATGCTAAGGCCAGAAGCCCCAAATCATGGTAACTGAGAGTGGTGCTAAGGTCCTAAGTTTTAATCATACTCTTACCTAAGTTAGAACCTGACCAAAAGGGAGTAATTTTTAATCAACATTATGAGAGACCATTGTTTTGGACTGAGCTCATGCACTAGACCCCAACAGACCAGACCAAACCAAAATGGAGACACTCATGCTAAATGTGATGGAATCAAACTAAGACTTTAAGGAAACAGATAGACCCTAGAACAGACCAGTTTTTGTCCCCCACCCCCCACTACCCTCCGCAAACAGGAGATTGCAGCATAAGAACATACCCTCTACTCTAACCTTTAAAAAATATAACCTGAGGTCCTTGTTCCCACCTCACAAAACCCACTGTTCTGCTACTTACCAGTGGGTATTGACACCAAGTAAGTACATTTATGATAGTGATAGTGACATCAATGAATAAAGTTTGAATAAAATCTCTTTTCTCTAAGTCACAGGTCGGGCCGCAGCACTCCCAACTCCTTAATTGTACATGGGCATAATGACACCAGATAAGAGAAAAACAATGATAAAAACCTCTCTAAGGTGCTCTGAAGGCCTAAGGGCCAATGCTTGGGGGCCTTCTCTAGTCTAAAGATGGTATGCCAGAAGCCTGCAGTGTGGAGGGGCCCACCAAGAGCCCCATGTGGCCCACCAGCTCCCACTGTCCAGTGGCCACATCCTATAGTGGCTAGGTGTGGCTGCCACTGTGCCCCAGCTCCTGCTCTCTGTTCACCACTGCCTCTGCTGCTCCTGGGTCCCTGACGCTGCAGCCAGGCGTCCATCGTCTTTGCCTGATGGGGGCCATAGTTTGTAACGCTTATGCTTTGCTATGTGTGTGGCCTTCCTGACCCCAGTGTTCAACTTCGCAACTGTTGGGTGAGTGGCTTTGGTAAACAGCCAGGATGGTAGTGACTAAAGACAGCAGTGCCACGGGTAGGGGGAGGGACCAATGAGCTCACCAGGGAGATGGAGGAGGCCTGGGGCCAGAGGAGAAGGGAACAGGGAACGGGATCCAGGAAACAGAGCATCTGGATACCTTCAAAGGCTCTGGCTGAGGAGGTAAAGTCCTGTCTCCCTGCTGGTGGGGAACTGGCTGATGGGGAGGGGGAGTTTTTGGGGGTAGGCAGTGCATCTCTGTGGAGTTGCCTTCCTGGCATCTCCCACCTTTTCAGCCTCCTACTGCAGCCTCGCTGCCTGTCTACAGATGGGGACATGTCTCAGTCTGTTGAGACTACTGTAACAAAATGCTGTAGACTGGATGGCTTATAAAAAACAGACATTGATTCCTCACAGTGCTGGAGGCTGGAAGTCCAAGATCAGGGTGCCCGCACAGTAGGGCTCTGAAGAGGCCGAGTTTGCAGACAGTGCCCTCTCACTGTGTCCTCACATGGTGAATCCCACTCCAAAGGCTCTGCCCTCATGACCTGACACTTCCCAAAGCCCCCTCCTCACACCATCATGCTGGAGGTAAGGATTTCAACGTATGAGTTTTGGGGGGACACAAAGAGTTCAGTCTGTAACAGGAGGCAGAAGAGCAAGAACTCTCAGGGCCTGAGCTGCCACGTGGTCCATGGGAAGCTAGACTTCAACTAACTCATGGACTGTGGACGTGTCACTCTGCCTCTCCCCTAGCATCAGAGGTGGTGGAGAAAACTCATGACAGTGAGTGAGCGCCACACCATGTGGTGTGTGCACGCTGGGTTCTCGGAGTGGCACTAGCCCTTTACCAGCCCTTTACGACATGGCCTGCAACACCCTTTGGAGCCGGCGTCTTTGCCCCATTTGAGATGCAAAGACTGAAGTGCAGACCAGGGCTGAGTGCTGGGCGTGGGGCTCCCTCTTCATGGTCACGGGTGACAAACGACTTTGGAACCCGCATCTGACACAAACCTGTACACTGGACTCCCACACTGAGCTGACGGCCCACAAGCCATAGAGAGAACCCTTCTCTCCCAATGGGGCCTTATCATGAAAATCACATCAGAATCCATACTTAGTCTAACAGCTCCAAACTGCAGCAGGTCACAGGGCAAAATCACTACCATCCTTCACAGGGTACCACACGGAACAGTACAGTGTGAGTTACTGGAGCCACTTCTATGTGCTGTATACACACTCACAACATATGCTATGTGTGCACACAAGCATGAACACACACTGGTTCATATGTAAGGCTTGCATATTGTTCTACAAGTAGCTCTTTTTTCCCCTTCATATATCACGAAACTATTTTCACAGTAGCACATAGATATGTACCTCATTCCTTTTCATGACTGGGTAGCATTTGTATTCACTAGCTTCTGCTGTATAACAAACCATCTGTGTTAGGGTCTCCAGAGAAACAGAACTATAGGGGTATGTGTGTGTGGAGAGAGAGAGAGTGTGTGTGTATGTGTGGATATGTGTGTGTATAGATCGATAGACATGTACCTACATAAAGTTAAAGAAATTGGCTCATGTCATTGTGAGAGCCGGCAAATGTGAAATCTGCAGGGCAGAGTGGCAGGCAGGGGCCCATAGAAGAGGTGATGTTGCAGCTCAAGTCTAGGGGCAGTCTGCAGGCAGAGTTCCTTGCTTTTCAGGGGACCTCAGTCTTTTCTCTTGAGACCTTCAACTGATTGGATGAGGCCCACCCACATTTTGAAGGGTCATCTGGTTTACTTAAAGTCTACTGATTTAAATGTTAATCTCATCTAAAAAATATCCTCACAGCAACAGCTAGACTGACTTTAACCCAAAATTGGCTACCACAGTCTAGCCAGGTTGACACATAAAATTAACCATCACACCGCCCAAAAACATAGCAACTAAAAACAACGATTTATTATTGCTTATGAATCTGTAGGGTGCCAGCAGGGGCAGGCCTTCTGCTGGTCCATCCAGGAGTCACTCGCATGGCTACTGTCACCTGTCTGCTCAATAGGGCTAGTGGGGCTGGGATGGCCTCTCTGGCGTGTCTGGCAGTTGGTGCTGGCGGTCGACTGGGGCACCTTAGTTTCTCTCCACATGACCCCTGCCCTCTGAAGGCTGGACTGGTCTTTCCTATAGCACGGTGGGCTCAGGGCTCTCAAAGGGTGAAGGGCCCCTCCAGGCCCGAGCCCTGGACTTGCACAAGGCCACTCTGGTACATTCTGTGTGTCCCAGGCCAGCACCTGTTGGAGGGTGGGAACCACATCCCCAGCCTCCTCAGCAGGACAGCAAAGTCACTTTGCAGAGGGTGTGGCCACAGTGGGTGTGACTCATCTATCCTCATGTGCGCCATCAGCCAGCTCCCCTCCCTCAGTTCACTTTCCATTTTTTGCTCTAAGAAAAAATACTTGCTCCTGGTGGGGCCTGTGTGGTGGCCTCAGGCAAGCCCTTCTGCAGGACAGATTCACAGAAGTACAACTGCTCAGATGCTCAGAGGCCAGGCAGCTGCACTTCCTGTGATGGGTGCTGCTGACACTTCCCCCACCCCCAGTCTGTGTGCCCCTCCCACTTGCACCTTGGTGTGAAAGGCCCCAGGTCCTCCTCTCCTCTGCCCTCAACAACCCATGGGCTTTTCTGTGTTTGCCAGTCTGGTGAGTAGCAAGTGACACAATAATATAATTTATGGTTTTAGTTCCTTGGTACTGGGGAAGTTGAGGGTAGTTTCATCTGTTCATATTGCTTCAATAACCAGAAAAATGTACAAAGATATCTACATTTTGAAATTAAAAGGTATCAAAAAGAAACAGGCTTTGAGAATCCCTGTGCCTCCACACTCCACACAGGGGGAAATTCAGCCATTTGTGCATCCTTTACTTGGGTTGGAGAAGGTTTTTCTTTTGTTCTTAATCTCAGAATTCCAGATGTCAGACCTGGAAGAGCATAAAGACCTCCTCGCTGAAAGCCCCACTTTATGCATGAAGAAGTGGGGCCCCCGGGAGGGCGCGGCCTGGCTGGTCTCACAGTGGCAGGTCCCAGCATCATCTGCTGAGGGGAAAGGGCTCTTCTCCAAGACTGGACAAAGCTTGCAGCCCCCAAGCACCCCAGGGACTGGTGTCTCCTGGTGCCTATCTAATGGCCTTCAGGTCCTGCACGGGCCCCACAGCCTGACCAGCGGGGGGCAGTGGAGGGCTGCTGATGGCCCCAATCCCGGTCTTCTGGAAACTCTTGCAGATGGGGTCGGGGGATACGGCCGTGCCCCCATGGCTCAGGTTCTAAGACGGGGCACAGACAACCCAAAACCACTAGAAACGCCTTAATAACTTGCCACACAGAGAGCGATGGGCCTCGCAAAGTCAACGCTGTTGGGTTTTCCTCCACCCTTGGATCGGATCGCTGTTTATGTAGCTCAGCGGAGAATTTCAGGACCTTGTTGCGTGAGCCATACCTATTTTTACACACTAGCGTCAGCCTCAGGGTGACAGTGGAGATCCAGGACGGAGACCTACTGTGGGGCAGGAGGTGCCAGGTTTCCATCCGTTGTGGCAGAGCACCTAGCATGAGTGCCACATCTCCCTCCTCCCTCCTCCCTCCTCCCCTCCTCCTTTTCCCCTCTTCCTCCCTCCTCCATTCTTCCCCTCTCCACCTCTTCCTCTCCCTCCCCCTTCCCTCTCCACATCTCCTTCCTCTTCCTCTCCTACCTCCCTCCTCCCTCCTCTATTCTTCCCCTTCCTCCCTTCTCTTCCCCCTCCCTCCCCCTCTTCCCTCTCTACATCTTCCTCTTCCCCCTCTGTTCTTCTTCCTCCTCTTCCCCATCCTCCCTCTAGCCCCTTCCCTCTCCACATCTTTTTCTTCCTCCTCCCCATCCCTCCTCGCTTCTTTCTCTTCACCTCTTCCCCCTCCCCCTCTTCCTTCTCCCCTCCTCCCTGTCCTCCTTTCCCTCCTCCTAACCCTAATCCAAGACTAACCTTAACCCAAACCCTCCTTGTCCTCCTCTCCCTCCTCCTAACCCTAATCCAAGCCTAACCTTAACCCAAACCCTCCTTGTCCTCCTCTCCCTCCTCCCTTCCCTCTTCCCTCTCCTCCTCCCCCCATCTTCTTCCCCTCCTCCTCCTTCCCCTCCTCCTGCCTAACCTCCTCCCTCCTGTAATCTTCCCCTTCCTCTCTCCTCTTCCTCCCCTTCTTCTCCCCCTCTCCCTCCCCCTCTTTCCTCTCCACATCTCCTCCTCCCCTACCCCTCTCTTTCTTCCTGCCTCCCCTTCCTCTATCCCCCCTTCCTTCTTCTTCCCTTCCTCCCTGTTCTTCTCCCACTCCTTCTCCCGTTTCCCCCTTCTTCTCCCCCCTCCTCCCCACCCTTCTTTCCTCTCTTCATCTTCCTTCTCCTCTCCTTCCTTCCCTCTTCTTTCTCCCCATCTCTTCCCCCTTCCCCTCTTCCTCCCCCTACTTCCCCTTCTTTCTTCTCCCCCTCCTCTCCTCTCCCTTCTCCCCCTCCTCCCTCCCTCCTCTTCCTTCTCCCCCTCCTCCTCCTTTTCACTGGTCTCTCCTGGGCTCTCAGGGTGTGAGTTTTATGTCTTCCTTTTCCTCTGAATCTTAGACTGTCTGTGTGTATAACTGATTGTGACCCAGTTCAATGTGTGGCTGATGCAAAGCCCCTGTGTGTGCGCCCTCCCTGGTGGCCCTTTCATCTCATTGCACAATGCAGAGTGGAGTTGCATCATCTCAGTGGCCCGGCCAACACAAAACTCAGCACACCCCAGGGCTTTCTGCTGCCTCTTGAGTAACTGTTCTCTGGCGGGCAAGGTGGGGCTGGGGGGTCTGAGACCCTCCTGCCAAGAGCAAGGCCCAAGCTGTCAGAGCTTTCTTTCCAGCCACTAGCATGTGGCCACCGCCACTTCCTCTCGTGCCCCCCTCACTCCCGCCAAGCCCAGCTTGGGCCACCCTGTCTCAGAGCCAGGGGCTCCCAGGCAAGGCCCCAGCAGAAAAGGCCCATGAAGATCGGCTCTCCATAGCTTCTCTAGGATGAGCCCTCTGGACCCCCAAGCTGAATGCCCCCAAATCCAGGCCTGTGCTCAAAATATAAGGCAAAATAAAATAAAATAAGCTAGAAGATGTTCACATTTCAAACTTAGATTTGTTTCCACAAACCAAAGACCTATATGCAGTGAGGATGAGTTTTAGCCCACAAAGGTGCGCATGTCATTTTAATGCAATTTGTTGCTCAAATTAATCTGTCTCCGTTTTCTATTTTAATTTAACCAAAATCCCAGTCAGTTCAGGGACCTCCACCCCTTTTCCTGAGCCCGTGTCCCAGCTGGCTTATCTACTGCCGAGGCGTGTCCTTGCCCTAGCATCTGCTGACAATATTGTCATTCCCTTCAGCTGTCGTTGTAGATGGAGTCTGCTTTTCCTTTCTACCCAGCATCACCTGATGAGTCCAGCCCTCTCCAAGCTAACATTGCACTCTCTCTCTTGTGTTTGAGAAACACTTTGCTGTTGGTTCACTTCTCCTCCCTGTGGGAAACAGAATACAGCCCCTCAGCAATGTCCATGTCTTGATCTCCCTAACCTGGGAATATGTCACCTTACATGGCAAAGGGAGATAAAATTTGCAGGCGGCATTAAGGTTGCCAAGCAACTGACTTTAAGGTAGGCAGATCATTCTGGATGACCCGGGTGGACACAAGGTCCTTAAATATGAAAAAGCAGGGCAGGCGAGCCAGTGGAAATGAGGTGATGTGGAGGAAGGGGCCAGAAGCCAAGGAGTACAGGCAGCCTCTAGAAGGGAAAAAGGGAAGGAAACAGAGCTTCCAGGGGGGAATGCAGCCCTGTCAACAACTTGATTTCAGCCCAGTGAGACCCACCGCAGACCTCTGACCTCCAGAATCATTAGAGAGTGGGTGTGTGTTGTTTGGAGCCACTAAGTTTGTGGCTATTTGTTACTGCAGCAGCAGGAAACTAATGCACTCCCCATTTTACAGATGAGTAGACTGAGGCTCAGAGAGGACAGCGAAGTTGTCTAAAGTCACAGAGGAGATAGATGACAGAGTTTCCTTCAAGGTGTGGCCAGGGCAGCATGCAGTGCACAGGTCGGCTGCACACACTAGGCCTGGGATTTAGCCTCATCTGCAGACCACACAGAGGGCTTACCATCAGCATCTCAAGGTTTAACCATAGGTCAACCAAAATTGAAAAGGCAGCACCCTTTCAGATCTCCCCCACCCATTGCACTGAATAACCAAGTGGACAAAGCATCTAGAAATGATGTAAGCCTAAATGCATATTTTGCAGGGGAAGGGAATTGGGTGTGTATTGAACACTTCACCTTCGTTTCAGATCCCCGTAAGCATTTCCTAACTCCCTTGGTACCATCGAATGTTTCCTACTCCCTCCAGGCAGTACTAGCCCCCTTTGTCTCTCCTCCTCCTTCTCTTCCTCCTCCTCTTCCTCCTCTTCTTCCTCAGGAGGAGGAACTTCCCTCTATTATGCAGAGCAATTCAGTTCCACTCTGGTCTCTGCTTTAACAATCATTCCCGCATCTATCATGGCTCCCATAAGTGCACAATGCTTGCATTAAGAGGATTGCCCTCCTTGGAAGGGCCTTATCAACCAACTTCCATGACTTGGGCAAGCCCTAGAGATGCCCCAGCCCCAGAGGTGTTATTTCTTCCAAATAAATACAGTGTTGTCCCAAGAGGAATTCTGGTATGTCCCCTTTTTTCCATCTGTGCATAGGTAGAGTGAGTTGGCTTGAGTCCTGCCACGCTCATGCCCCTCCTGGCCCCTTGCTTTCAGGTCAACACAAACTAGAATCCACCCAAAATGTCTGTGCCCAATTCTGGGCTCACACCATCTACACAGCATCTGTGTAGAAGAGACAAGATTGTGGCACTAGGGCCACCTCATGAAATTAGGGGAGGGAAAGAGACTTACAGAGTACTGAAGATGTGGGGACATGCCACACCTAACAGGCAGCTCCTTCTTATAAGTGGGCCCTGTCACCCCAGGGTGTGAGGATCCAGACCCTGGGTACTGGGAGAAAGAGGCAGACCTTCCTGGAAAGCAGGATCCCAGGTTGGGTCTCTATCCATGGAGAAGCTTGGAAGGGATGAGGCTAGAGGCCCTAAGACGCTCACGGCAGGGAGTGACCTCTCATCTTCAAGTGCATCATCCTAGCCCCAGTGCTGGGCACAGAAGTGGTGCCAGGGCCCTGGGGTGGCTCCCTACCTGTGTTGCCTCCAAGGAGGAGAAATGAAAGAAGGCCGGCCCGGCAATGTCCATGGAGACATGGCTCTTGCTTGGGGCATCTTGTTCTGGTTAACTCCGGCCCCTTCCGTCAATCCATTATTTGACGTTGGCCAGCCAGGTGCATCTTCTGGTCCTGGATGACTTCATCCTTGCAATGGAGGTGATGGCACTGCATTCGCAAGATGAGATGGCGTTTGGAGATGGACTTTGTAGACTGGAGCTTGCCATGCAGGGGTAGATTGGGGAGCAGAAGGGAGGAGGAGAGGCAGCTGGGGAAGCGGTAGGATGTTGGTTTGCACTTGTCTGGGTTCCACAAGGCCTGGGTTAATGTTCTGCCACCATGCAAGGATGCTCTGTCTTCTCTCAAGCATGTTCCCAGGACACCCGCTCTCTGGGAGACAGCAGCTTTAGCTTGTCTTTGCTCCTGCATCTGGGTACCTCTGACCCTGACACCCCTAGCCCACTTTCCCTGGTGCCCAACTGACATAGATGCCCCTCAGCGAGGCAGAGGAGGCCACTGTGGGTGGTGTGGCCAGAGGCTCCTCCAGCAGCCTAGTCTGTCGCACAGCAGACCTGTGGTGATTCCAAGGTCTGCCTATGCTCTGTTCTTATCATCAAAAGAACAAGGCATGGTAAACAGAGAAATGGAAGTGCAGACACTGGTGACAAGATACAGAGCTGCCCTAAACCCACCCCACCTGAATGAGACCAACATTCCTTGGGGGCTGTAGGAAGTGTCTGGGCTCACTCACTGGGGCACCGGCTGCATGTGCACCCCAGTGTGTGTGAGCACCCTGTTGTGTATGCCGGTGAGCACATCCCCAGGGCTGAAGTGTGAGCGTGGCCCCTATGTGTCCCAGTGGCACCGCTTGGCTCTCTCATCCACCGAACCCTGCAACCAGATATCCGATTAGGAAAGAAAAGGATGACCCTAAAATGCAAGTCAGGAGTGCCAGAGGAGTCATCAAGGATCATGTCTGAGAACAGTGAAGTGGATTAGGGATTCTGTCCTGTTTAGCTTGAAGTCTATCTGGCAGCTGGCAGCCACACAGGATCTCTTCAAGGGGGCGTTATGAACAGAAGTAGGAAACCGCTCACTTGGCTGCCAGAATTTGGAATGTGAGACGTTTCAAGCTGCATCCATTTCTGAAGAATCCGAGGTGTGTGCATGTCTTGATTTCAGCTGACCTTTCTCTCCAAACCCTTCCTACTCTGCCTCCTTCTGCTTAAAACACACACAAACACCCCGAGTTCTGAGTCAGGGAGTTAATCCACTTGGGTTGCCGACAGTCCCACCCAGCCGTGCTCTGGGGGCTGTCCCTTCCTGGACTTAGGACAGTGTGGGGCGCAAGCCACCTCCCCTGGAGGCTCCCGCTGCAAACACTCCTAGGGCCTAACGCAGATGCTCTATGAGCCCCCAGAAAGACAGGCCCAGCCTAGGAAGGCTGAGAGGATGGCTAGAGCAGTGGTAAGGTGCAGCTCACGGGCTGGCGGAAGGGGGCGGCTGGGCTCCGCGCCAAGCAGTGCTGCTTGGTGAGAAGGCAGGCCGAAGGTCAGATTCTCCCATTTTTCCAAAGTAAGATGAAAGTCTGGATTCTTATTATTTTATCTTAATAATATTTGTGAAAGGAAAATAAATCTTGGGGTCCCCAAATCACTAAGCTAAAGGGAAAAGTCGGGCTGGGAACTGCTTAGGGCAAACCTGTCTCTCATTCTATTCAGTCACCCTTCTGCTCACTGAGATAGATGCATATCTGATTGCCTCCGTTGGAAAGGCTAATCAGAAACTCAAAAGAATGTAACTGCTTGTGTATCACCTGTCTGTGACCTGGAAGGCCCCTCCCCACTTTGGGTCTTTCAGCCTTTGCTTCAAGTTGTTCTGCTTTTCCAGATCAAACCAATGTACTTCTTACATATGTTGATTGATGTCTCCTGTCTCCCTAAAAAGTATAAAACCAAGCTGTGCTCTGATCACCTTGGGCACATGTCGTCAGGACTTCCTGAGGCTGTGCACGGGCATGTCCTCAACCTTGGCAAAATAAGTAAACTTTTTTTTTTTTTTTTTGAGACGAGTCTCCCTCTGTCACCAGGCTGAAGTGCAGTGGCGCGATCTCGTTTCACTGCAAACTTCACCTCCTGGGTTCAAGCGATTCTCCTGCCTCAGCCTCCCAAGTACCTGGGATTACAGCACACACCACCATGCCCAGCTAATTTTTGTATTTTTAGTAGAGACGGGGTTTCGCCATGTTGGCCAGGATGGTCTTGATCGATCTCTTGACCTTGTGATCCGCCCGCCTCAGCCTCCCAAAGTGCTGAGATTACAGGCGTGAGCCTCCACACCCAGCCAAGTAAACTTTTTAAATTAACTGAGACCGGTCTCAGATTTTCAGGGTTCACATAATTTTAATTAATGTCATTTTAATATTACTAAAATTATATTACTTTATTATTTTACAAGCTTTAAAATTGTCGCAAGGCCAAACAAAACGTATCTGTGAGCTGGAAATATGTGGGGCACTGGGGACAGAGGCAGAGTGTCTCGATGGCCTCTGCTGGCATGTGGTGCCTGGCATGTTGTAGGCAGTCAGCAAACAGTTCCTGAATGAATGAATAAATGACTGGATGGATAAGTGAATGAATGAAAGGGTTGGCAGGATGCCCTGGTTCCCACGGGGCTGGGATGCTCACGTTTGCCCCGTATCCCAAGAGAGAACACTGTGTCCAGAGGGAGGTGGTGGAGCTGGCATGGACACAGGGCTGGCTGGCGGCCACCCGCGGCCAGGAGCAGGACTGGGGAGGCCAGGCGCTGCTTGGATCAGCCTTGGAGCCCCTATGGGCACTCCGGTTCTCCAGGCAACAGCTTCCAGTCCTTTAGCCCCTCATGTCACGGTTTAACACACACACAAGCCCCAAAAGAGGCCCCCCACTGCACCCCTCAACGTCCTCTCTGTGCAGCTTTTCCCAGCCCTTCACATCTGCAGGAGACTCAGTCCTGAGAGGCCAGGCCGGGATGGGCGGGGGCTAAGAAGGGAGGGAGGAACCAAGGTTTCTCCTCCAGCCCAGGGAGCCAGGGGCTGGCATTCTGTGTCCAGGACTTCGGGCCCTCTGTGAGCCTCTGTCCGCCAAGGCGATGGAGCTGTGTTTGGAGTCCCTCGTGAGTACAACACTCCACTATTGTGCCTGTGTGCACGCTGTGCCATGGATATGTGCGCCCCTTTTATTTGGGTACACAACCAGCTATGTTTTGTGTGTACACCACTGGAGTTATACGTGGGTAGGGGTGCACAATGTGCAGGCTTCTGGAATGTGAGTGTAGGTCTCCTTGTGTGCAAAAACCACCTACTATGTGCATCGGTTTGAAAAGACCATAGTGTGTGTTTGTACACCAATGTGTGTATGTGTGCCCCACCTGAGGTGTTTCTGTGCATGCAAAGGCTGCGTGTGCGCCCCTGTGTGTGTGCGCACCCTTTTGTGTGCATACACCCTGCTGTGTGTGCCGGTGCGCACATCCCCAGGGCCGAAGCGTGAGAGTGGCCCCGGTGTGTCCCGGCGGCGCTGCTTGGCTCTCTCGCCTCACTTTGAATGCTTACCGTCTGAATCTCCCACTGCAGACGTCAGGCCACGTGGCCCTGAGTGTTCGTGGCGGCCGGGCCGGCTCAGGGATCCCAGGCTGTGGCTCAGGGATCCCAGGCTGTGGCTCTGGGATCCCAGGCTGTGGCGCTGGGGCGGTGCGCTGGCCGTGGGTCGAGAGGTCGCTGCGCCCTGCATTCCTGGCCGCGCGCGCACAGGCTGGAATCCGTACATTCCATTCATAACATTCCCGCAAGCGAGGGGAGGAGACGCAAAGCCGGGGAGTGAGTGATTAAAGAAAAGAAAGAAGGGCTTCTTGCAGCTCCGGGCTGTGTTTTTTCCTGCGCGCCCTGGCGCAGTCCCCGGCTCGGAAAGGCAGGAGCACGTGAGCGGTTTGCAGAGCAGCCCGGCCCAGCCGCGCGCCCGTGGCCGGAGGCTCCATTTACCCTCCGCGGAGGGCGCTGTGCGGCGGCACTTAAGCGGCAGCTTCCTCTCTCCCAGGCGGCCTTTGTGGCTGTGGCCGGGACAGGGAAAAGCTGCCCAGGCCAAGAGGGCGGGGGCGTCAGGGGCAGCCAGCGCCGCCTTTGCGCAACTGAAGCGGATGAAGCCGCCTGCTCTCAGGTCTTCTAAGGAGAAGGTCTTTTTATCACTCCCATTTTACAGATGAGGAAATCGAGGCTCAGAGACAGGAAGTAGCTTGTGCCATTCATTAGGGTCCCAGGCCTGGTACCTCCTCCCGTTGATGGCAGTACCGATTGCCTTTGCAAGGACCCAGCCCTTCACCGTGTGTTTCTGCTCTCCTGACCCCCACATCTCCCTTAGCTCAGTGACACTCTCCTCTGGGACCGTCCTCTTCATCCTCCTGCATTTTCCAGCGCCCCTTCTCTTAGCACTGTGTGTGCCGTCCCACTGCCTCCCCCGCTGAGCTAGGCCTTCCCCCAGGACAGGTCCTGTGAACCACCTGTGCGAGGTCAGTGGGCAGCATGGATCCTAGATGTAGGTGGGCAGTGGGGCAGGCGGGGGTCTATCTGGGGGACGTCCTGACATATGGAGGGATGGAGCATGGCTTTCCTTGAGACAGAGCCGTGAAAACAGGAGAGAAGAGGGAGAATCTGACCTGGCACCCAGGTGGGCAGGGAGGCCCATGGGATGGGGGACGACCAACTTGTCTGGGACAAATGGTGCGAGACACTCTGCCACGACAACTCTGGCCACATCCCAGAATTGGGCAAGGGCAACATGGAGAAGGCGGCTTGATTCCAGGTGCCACTGGCCCTGGCCAGAGGTGAGGCTGGAAAGGGTGCAGGTTTGCTGTGGGCCTCTGAGGACAGCTTTCAGGAGCTGGAGGTTGGGGGCGGGGGGGGGGGGCGGGGAAAGGGGGGCAGCAGGGCAGCCCCTGCAGAGGGAACTGCAAGGAGAAAGGCTACATAGGAGGGAACATGGGGTGGGCCTTCGGGTCACCTAGCAGGCAGATGGGGACAACTGGGTGGTTAGATTATAGAGTACCTTCTTCAGAAGCCCGAGGGCAGAGCGATGTCTTTGCACGCCCTCTGCTACACTTCACACAGGCTGGCATCCTGTATTTGTTCAGTTGATTGTTCCTGTCTGCCTCCCAGATTCACCTGCAGAGCAGAGTAGGTGCTTAGAGGTTTGCTGATTGATGAAGAAGGTGCTAGAACAGGCTGGGCCCTAACACTCCCTGCTTTGTCAACCAAACATCAGGTTAAAACACCAGGTAGGAGCCTGTCCTGGGCTGGCGAGGGCTGGCCAGGTAATTGAAGGTCATCTCAGCAGGGCACTCCCCCCGCTCAATCGCCTAGAGCCATTCCCCAGTGTGGTGTGACCTTGGGCAAACCCCTTCATGTCTCTAGCCTCTGTGGGCAGCAGTGGTCCTGGTGTCTCCATCATGAGGGAAGTACAGACAGCACTAGGAATGCTGTCTGCACAGAGGTCACTCAGTAGAGGTGTGCTGGCTCTTTCTTCATCACTGACCTCTTCATCCTCCTGCATTTTTCTGGCCACGATGAGCTCCTCTGAAGCCGTCCTTCCAGCACAGAAACTCCAAGTTGCCCTGATTTGTGTTCACAAAGGCACCAGTTTTCAGCAGTTTAGAGGACTGAGTGGTTCTCAAAGTGGTCCAGAGAGCTCTGGGGCCCCGATACACTTTCAAGGCATCTTCAAGGTGAAAACTCTGTTCGTGACAATGTTAACATGTTACTTCTGTCTCATTCTCTCTCAGGGGTATGGCAGCAACTTCCAGCAGGTATGATGATGTCACTGCTCCGACAGCCAATGGGCAGGGGCCATGACGTCACCACTCTGACAGCATGTGTTCCTGGGCTTTAAAAGTTCCTCCAAAGTTGGTTAAGGGATACAGACATACAGTTAGGTAGAAGGAACAAGTGTTATAAGTTAACAATATTTTCTTGTATATTTCAGTATAGCTAAAAGAGATTTGTAATGTTCCCAACAGAAAGAAAAGACACATGTTTAAGGTCTTATATATCCCAGTTACCTTGATTTGATCATTGCACATTGTATATGTGTATCAGAATATCACATGTACCCCCAAAATATGTACAACCTAATATAGATCAATAAAAATAAATAAGCTTTTCATTTTCATTTCAAATACATTAAATACCAATAGGTGTAACTCACCATTTAAAAAAGGTCCTCAGCAATTTTTATTTAATTTATTAAGAGTGAAAAGGGGTCCTGAGACTAAAATTTTGAGACTCGCTGGATTAAATAGAGTTTAAATCCAGGTTCTGTCCCTGAACGTCTACAAGGCCTAGAGGAAATTACTTTAAACATGTGAAGCCTCAGTTTCTCTTCTTAAAAGGAGAGAAAAGGCACCTTCCTCATTGTGTGATGTGGCTCATTACTGAGACAATGCAAACAAAACACACAGACATGTGCCCAGCCCTCCTGCATGGTGGAGCTCTCCTTCCGGGTGGAGGCTGCCAGCTGCCCTGGCTTGCGCTCCAAGGACCAGGGTGCCCATGGACTCTGAAGGGACTCTTAGCAGCTAGCTCCTCAAAGGCTGGCCAACAAGGACAAGCAGAGCCCCTGCCCCAGAGCATTCATCCAGCCTGGCACCCTCCCCAGGCGGGCGCCCGGCCAGCTCCCTGAGTACACATTTTCCTACATGTCTAAGGTGTGAGAAAAGTAACACATTTGTTGTTGATCTTGTTGGAAAAGGCCTGGTTTTAAAGAGCAGTGTGTTTTTAACTTGTTGCGAAGTACATTCTGTAATTCCTGACCAAAATACCAACTGACGTTAAAAAAAACCTCCTTCATGGAAAAAATATTTTGTTTGGAGAGTGATCCTTAAACGCTAGTGGAGGGTGCAATGCCTCCTCCTAAGGCCATTCCAGGAGGGTCAGCCGTCCCCCCAAGAGTGCTGGGACTCAGCCTGGACAGCCTGGCTTCTGCCACAAAAGGCACAGAAGTCAAACATCCAGAGAAAACCACAGGGGAAAAGGAGCTATTCAAGTTGAAAAGAGAATTCAGTGAGGTGGCCAGTTACAAAATAAATATACAAAACTTTGCGGCTTGCCAAGTGCCCCAAAATAGTCGTAACAAAATATATTGGGGGAAAAAAGGCCCCATTCACAATTCAATAAGAAATTAGAAATTCCTAGGAGTAAACTAAACAAGGAAACACATACAGGACCTAAAGTCAGAGGGCTCCAACTATTACCTGAGAAGCACAAATTATTTAGTAAATGGAGAGATATATGTATACATGTCCCTGGATAGGAAGACACAATATTGCAAAAATGTCCATTTTCTGGCAATAAATATTTGAAAAGAAAACCAGAGCAGCAGGGAATGAGATTTGCCTTATCAGATATTAAAGCTAAAAGTCTTTTAAAAATTGAATTCCTGATGCCGGAATGCAGTGGCACAGAATCAGAACTCCACATGCCCACCGGAAGTTATGTAAGCATTTAATATGCGATAAGATGACCTTTCAAATTAGTGTGTAAATCATAGGCGTTTTTCAATAAACAGTTTGGGCAAATGGCCAATCCCTTGAAATGAAATAAAGTTAGCTTTCTGTTTTTCACTCTAGGTGGATTAAAGATTCAAACGTAACATGAAACCATAAAAACACAAGAAGCATATTTCAGTGAATATTTATGTAATCTTGGGGGTAAGGGAGAACTTAATAAATACGAAACCAGAGATTAAAACAATAAGGGAAAAGGTAAATGGGTTTGACCAGAAAAAAATTTAAAGTTTCACTGTGTCAATAAATACGAACCAATCTGTGCATTAAAAATGAACTCTAGTAGGTTTGACTGCAGACATTTTCTACTTCTTGATAATACGGGGCAAGATGAAACTTGCCACGTTCATCCAGGCAGGGAATATTCATCTAGTGATTGTAAAAAAAAGAAAAAAAGAAGAAAAAAAAAAAAGGCTGGGCACAGTGGCTCACACCTGTAATCCCAGCACTTTGGGAGGCCGAGTTGGGTGGATCACCTGAGGTCAGGAGTTCAAGACCAGCCTGACCAACATGGCAAAACCCCATCTCTACTAAAAAATACAAAAATTAGCCGGGCGTGGTGGCAGGCACCTGTAATCTCAGCTACTCGGCAGGCTGAGGCAGGAGAATCGCTTGAGCCCAGGAGGTGGAGGTTGCGGTGAGCCGAGATCGCACCACTGCACTCCAGCCTGGGCGACAGAGCGAGACTCCGTCTCAAAATAAATAAATAAATAAAAACAGAAAAGACTCCTGCCTTAATGGAGTAGACATCAAGAATGGGAAACAAACAACTAGCAAGAAAGCAAACAAACAAAAGACTGCTGATTGAAAACCTGGATCAAAACTCAAATTAACAACAAGGTTTGGGGCTGGGCTCGGGTTTACACCTGTAATTACAGTGCTTTGGTAGACTAGGGAGGGAGGAACGCTTGAGGTGGACAGTTCAAAGCAAGCCTGGGCAATATAGCGAGACCCTAAGTCCACAGCAAGTAAAACAATTAGACAGGCATAGTGGCTCATGCCTACAATCCCAGACCCTGCTACTGGGGAGGCTGAGGTGAGAGGATCGCCTGAGCCCAGGAGGTAGAGGCTGCAGGGAGCTATGATTGTGCCACTGCACTCCAGCCTGGGCAATGGGGTGAGACCCTGTCTTAAAAAAAAAAACAAGGTATTGGAGAAGCTGCTAATAACAGCAGATGGCAATCAGCTTGGAGATACCTATCCATACTGTGACTCAGAAGTTTTCTGAAATATTCATCTAGTCTTGCAGTAGGCTGTTTTCAGAGAAATCTTCCTCTGCACTTTTTTAGTATTTTTTTCATCATCCCATGCTATTTCCTTTTTCTTCTACTCATCACTGAAAGACTGAATGCTCACAGCCTATCACATAAATAATAACAAATAAATGTACAATTTCAAATGGTGCTATGGAAGAAAGTTCCTGATTGTAGATGGTCTATGGGTGTGTCTTTCTAATTTTAATAGTTTTCTGTTCATTTCAAGGTGTATTAGAAAGAATCATTTTCCATTTATGGGAGATATATGACATTATCTTTTTTGTAATCCTTCTTTTTCTTTTTTTTTTTAATTGAGACAGAGTTTTGCTCTGTTGCCCAGGGTGGAGTGTAGTGGTGTGATCATGGCTCACTGCAGCCTCAACCTCCTGGTCTCAAGTGATATTCCTGCCTCAGCCTCCTGAGTAGCTGGGACCAAAAGTGTACACCTCCATACATAGCTGGTTTTTAAAAAACTTCTTGCAGGGATGGGGTCTGGCTGTGTTGCCCAGGCTGGTCTGGAACTCCTGGGCTCAAGTGATTCTCCTGCCTTGGCCTCTCAATGTGCTGGTATCACAGGCACGAGCCACTTTACCTGGCCATTTCCTTTGAAATAAATATATTTCAGTAAGGACTTGATTGGAAGAACAAGATTACATACATACTAATACAGGTGGTTCAAGTGCATGGGGAAATTCATGACCTTGACAAGGAAAAGGGCATTGGCGAGATACTGCTGACCTCAAAGAGCAGCTGCAGAAAGGCTTGGCTCAGGCTGCCTGTCAGGACCACTAATGAGAAACATTGGGAGATTAGACAAAGAGGTCTAGACAAAGTACAGGGGCTTGAGCTGGGGCAGGGGAGCAAAGGGGTGATTCTGGAGGGGTTGAAGACAATCAAGGGAGTGGGTATGGAGGATAAGAATAAGAATATCTCAGCTATGGCAGAAAAGCCTCCTGGTACAACCCTGGCCAGGCTTGAACAGAGGCAGTGGTGAGGGGCTCAGCTCTGATGCCAGGCTTCCTGGGTTCAAATCCCAGCTTATTCTTCCTAGTCGAGGTAGTGGCTCTCTCTGTCCTTGGCTTTCCCAGGTGTACAATAAGGATGATAAGAGTGGCCATCTCATGGAACACTGACTATGCCTTAACTTCTTTCTCTACAAAATGGAGCCATAAATAACCCCTTGCTCATAGAGAGGCATGAGTGTTGAGTGATTCCTAATGTGAAGCGCACAGAACAGCTCCCTGTGGAGGCAGCACTCAGTAGTCGTCACTTCCATTCCCTCTGCAGATTCCCATCCTGACCACTGCCCATATGAATGGGAGGATGCACAGACACCTAGGTGGGCTACCCTGCATTTTCCAACCCCTTTTACCCTCTGATCTGCTCAGTGTCCTAGGAGGGTCACCTCTAGGGGCCCTCGCCCTTGGGGTCCTGCAGGACAATGGGAAGCTCTGACATTGGCTGGCAGGATAAAAGTCCCAGGTTGTCCTGCCCCCACACCCAGCCCTGTGGGCATATTTTGGGAGTGGCTTCCTCTTCTTCGTCCCTGCAGGCCCAGGAGGCTCACATCTCTCCCTCCAGGGCTCCACCATCTTGTTGGTCCCTTCCCTACTGGCCACTCCCTGTTGCTCACCAGCTCCTACCTTAAACTCTCTTCTGGCACCCCTTGCAGTGACCCTCTGTGCCTGCCCGGCCTTCCTGTGACTGAAGTCCCACACGAGTTTTGTCTCTATCTGCACAAAGCTCTGCTTGCTCCCTCTAAACCTTCAGTTTGCAAGCTCCCAATCAGCTGCAGAAGCTCACCTTGGGGCCCTACCCTACACCCTCCCGCCCCCAACGGGCCCATTTCCCTGGACCTGCCCCTCTCAGGCCCCATCCTGGCGCCTGTGTGGTCTCCTTCAGCAAGATTCACAGCTCTCCCACAGCAGGATGGGACTAGCTCTTTGCTCTGCTTCCCACCCACCCCCATGGTGGCGGAAGACCAACCTCCAATAGCCTGGTAAGAATTATGTCCATTGTTAAGTCAGAATTTGCTTCACTGCAGGGTGAAACCAGACCACAGAGAACCTTTTGAATGTCATGTTAACCCTGGAAGTGATGGGAAGCTCTGCTCAGAAGGTGTCTGAGTGAGCAGGGGTGGGCTGACACTAAAGAGAGGAAGCTGCTCACAGACCAGACCCAGAACTGCTCACCCAACCTTGCTGTCCCCAGCAGCCTCCGTCTGTTCCTCCCCTCCCTCCCTCCCTTCCTCTCTTCCTTCCTTCCTTCTTTTTTCTTCCTCCCTACTTTCATTCCTTCCTTCCATCCTCCCTTCTGCTTCCTTCTTCCTTTTTCCTTCCTCCCTCTTTCTTCCCTCTTCTTTCTTGCCTCCCATCTTCCTTTCTTCTTCCCCCTTTCCTTCTTACCTTCTGTTCTTCCTCTTTCCTCCTTCTTTCCCTCCTTCCTTGCAGCTTTCTTCTTCCTTTTTCTTCTTCCTTCCTCCTTTCTTCCTTCATTCTTCTTTTTCCCTTTCCTCTTTCCTTTTTTCTTTTTTCCTTCTTTTCTTGGGGTCAGGAGGTGTTTCGTGGCTTGAATAGACACAGTTCAATACTGGTATTGATAGCAAATTTCAGCCACTCCTGACACAGTCTCCCCTACCCAGACATTGCGGAGGCAAAGTTTGTGAAACACGGCAAGGTTTCAACAGTGTTGGAAATTGGAAATATTGCTCAATAGCTCATCAGAGGCCTTCCCTGAGCATTAGCGTGTGACAGCTGTGTGGGGCAGCCAGCTATCTGATGCCTTCCTCCCCCATGGCCACGCTTCGTTTCCAGCACCACCTTGAGACTGCAATTCCCAGCCACCTAAGCAGCCCCAAGAAGAGCCCTCTGAGAGGCCACACTGACCTACTGGGGGAGCCCAGGAGACCCAGGGGCCTTGCGCTTTGGGTTTTGATTTTTCTTGCCAGAGGAAAACCCTGCAGATTGCTGCAAGCTGCGGGAATAAACTCATGCCTTTGTGGAAGAACAGCCAGACCACAGGCTCTCAGAAGACTCAACTCTCAGGACAGCAGAGGCTCACGACACTAAAGCCTCTAGGCCACCAGGAAGTTGGCAAGAAATGTTTTGCTCAAGTTACCCTTCTTTCAAGAGGTAGCGGGAGGGGCAGTCATCCACTCTGTTTACCAACAAGCACCAGGTCCATATGGATCTCCTCTCCTTCAAGTAGGAGTAAACAGGGGGAAATGAGGCCTGAAAAGATTCTAGATCAGAGAAGACAGAGACTGAATGTTCCGCCATGGGCAAAATTGAGGAAGTTGTCAGGAAGCTACACTCACAGAGGAAGAGCATATTTGTTGAGACTACTCACTACAAAAGCAAAATGTACATTTCAGCAAACATTTGCAAAGCAATCTCAATAAAACTCTAAAAAACTGGAAAATCTGTGAAACAAGATATGAGTGCTAATAAGGCAAGAAGCGAAGATTATATGGGAGATGTCGAGGGGCAAGATATGAATAGATTTTTACCTTTTCATTTGGAAATGAAAGAATGAAGGAAAATGGTAAGAATAAGAATAGTACAAAGAGGCCGGGTACAGTGGCTCATGCCTGTAATCCCAGCACTTTGGGAGGCCGAGGCGGGCAGATCACGAGGTCAAGAGATCAAGACCATCCTGGCCAACATGGTGAAACCCCGTCTCCAGTAAAAATACAAAAATTAGCTGGGCGTGGTGGCGCATGCCTGTAATGCCAGCTACTTGGGAGGCTGAGGCAGGAGAATCACTTGAACCTGGGAGGCAGAGGTTGCAGTGAGCCGAGACTGCACCACTGCACTCCAGCCTGGTGACAGAGTGAGACTCTGTCTCAAAAAAAAAAAGTACAAATGCCCACTTATTATTTACCCAGAGTCACCTATTGCTAGCATTTTGCCACAGTTGCTTTACTATCTTCTCTGTCTATATGTATGTGTGTGTATACATGTACACACATAGGCATGTATATACATGAACACACATACATGTATATATACATATATATATCTACATATCTATCTATCTATCTATCTATCTATCTATATATATATATATATATATGTAAAATTTCTTTCTGAACCATTTCAGGGTAAGTTGCATAAATCACAGGCCTTTACCCCTATTCCAGTGTGTATTTACTAACAATAAGGCATTTTCATTTATTGTGCTGTTACTGATTTCAGTGGCTTTTACATTGATATATTTCTTTCTCAAGTCCAATGTCTATATGCCAATTTTGTCTGTTGATCTCATCATGCCTTTCATAGTATTTCTTTCCTTCAGTGCAGGATCAGGTTTAGGATCAGGTATTGCATTTAGTCATCCCATTCTTTAATTTGGAACATTTCTGTAGCCCTTCTTTGACTCTGTATGACATTAACATTTCTGAAGCATATGATGCCTTCTCCCTTTGTTTAATAAAGAACGCATCTCTCATTTTGCTGGTTAGTGTATAAATCTGTTCTTACACTGCTATAAAGAAATACCTGAGACTGCGTAACTTATAAAGTAAAGAGGTTTAATTGGCTCACGGTTCTGCAGGCTGTACAGGAGGCATGGCTAGGAAGGCCTTGGGAAACTTACAATCATGGTGGAAGGTGAAGGGGAAGCAGGCACACCTTCACTTGGCCAGAGCAGGAGGAAGAGGGGTGGGGGGAGGTGCCACACACTTTTAAAAAACCAAATCTCAGGAGAACTCACTCACTATCACGAGAACAGCAACCCCCATGATCCAATCACTTCCTTCCAAGTCCCCCTCCAACACTGGGGATTACAATTTGACATGAGATTTGGGTGAGGACACAGAGCCAAACCGTATCAGTTATATTCAGATTATTCGTTCCAGGCTGGGTACCCATGAGCATGCCCTCAGAGTATCACATTTGCAGGCACAGAATGGCCATTGACATCTCACGGGCTGGAGTTGTGATCCTGGTGGAGATGTGGGACAGGTTGCTTTCACTGGTATTCATGAATCACACGTTCTTATGTGTTCTCTCTCTCTCTCTTTTGCTCGCTCTCCCTCCTTTCTGAATTGTTAAAGTGACACCATCCTGTAAAATGTGACAGTGAATTCACATGCTTGTCTTTCCTCCCTCCCATACCCCTACAAGAATCAAGCTTTTGCGCCAGCCCCACAGGATGAGGCAGAGAAGCAACAACAGACAAGAGGGGGCAAGGTGTTGGAAGACAGAAGAGGGAGCCCTGAGCTCCCCAGGCCAGATGGCTTCTGAACTCGGACTCCATGAAGTGTTAGAAGGCACTCAGTGTCCACACTCTGTATTGTGTAACACTCTCTCCAGGGGTTGAGGCAGCACCCGGTAGTATGCATCAACATTCCCATGGTGACAGTTATGAGTATTCATACTAAGTAGGGCAAGTGAAGACTATAATGGCTTCAGTCAGTTCAGGTCAAGTTTTGCCACTACATGAATTCAGGGCAATTCGGGTTTTTCTGGCAAATTGTTAATGAGCAAAATGTCAGTTTTCAGAGCCTTGTGAGGTTGGGATGGGAATGAAGGACTGTGGCCAACCTGATGTTGAAATTAAGCCTCTAGGAAGGGAGCAAACAGTGCTGCCCATTAGCACCACAGAGCCCAGGCTGTCATGGGGACTAGTGCTGGAATGGGACGCTGCTGGAAGCAAGAGGTCTTAGGAGTGTCCTCCCTGGCTCCTCCAGTGGTGTCCTGGCCTCCCTCCTAGTTGGTGCTGGTGGAAAGCATCTCTGAAGAGGAGGTGTGAACCTGCCACGTAAGAGTGAGTAGGGGTCACCCAGGTGCAGAGTCAGAGGAAACTGCCCGTCCTGCTCCGTGAGGTGGAAGCACAAGGCCAGTGAGGGCCAAAGTGGTCACTGGGAGGGGCAGTACCATTCAAAGGACAAGATTAGACTCCAGCTGCAATAGGAGCTGCTGGGAGATTTCAGGACCGGGAGTAAACACATCCGATTTGCACTGTGAAGAGATCACCCAGGGCTGCTGCGTGGAAAGTAGGATATAGGGATCCAAGGGGGAGTAGAGGCTGGTGGAGAGTCCTGCAGCTGGGAAAGGCCTGAGGGGTGGGGGGCTTGGGGGGCATGCCCTGCGGGGGCCCGCTATCGGTGCACAGACAGCCCTGGATGGTGCGGGCAGGAGAGGAACAGGGGTCCAGGGAGCTCCCAGGCTTCTGGCATGAGAAACAGAATGGAGGAAAGCCCACCCCGCTCCCTGGCAGCTGCGCTACAGTGGTTTGCAGCCAACTCCTGGAATAGGCTAACTCGGTTCAAATCCCAGCGTCACCACCTACTCGCTGTGTGATGTTGGTTAAGTTATTTAATCTCTCTGGGTCTCAGTGATAACTTGATGATAGTGTTTAAGCGTCCTGAAACAGGGCCTGGGGCTTAAGAGTGCCCTCTAACAACGATCCTGTCCTTCCAGGGCCTCGGGTTCTCCTTTGCCAAGATCCCTCCGCGGTGAGTATTCACTTAGCACCCAGGATCTTTAAACCAACCAGTGCATTCCCTTCTGAAGAGCCTTCAACTTCACTTTAAAAAATCCTGTGATGGGGCGGGCGTGGTGGCTCATGCCTGCAATCCCAGCACTTTGGGAGGTCAAGGTGGGCAGATCACGAGGTCAGGAGTTCGACACCAGCCTTACCAACATGGTGAAACCCTGTCTCTACTAAAAATACAAAAATTAGCCGGGTGTGGTGACACGCGCCTGTAATCCCAGCTACTCAGGAGGCTGAGGCAGGAGAATCACTTGAATCCGGGAGGTGGAGGTTGCAGTGAGCCGAAATCATGCCACTGCACTCCAGCCTGGGCAACAGAACGAGACTTTGTCTAAAAAAAAAAAAAAAAAATCCTGTGATGGCAAAGACGTTCTCAGGCTAAATTCAACTCATGTATTTTTTACATACATAATATTTGAAGGGTCTTATATGTGTATGTATATCTTCTTCTTATTGAATTTAAGAATACTTTATATATTTCAGATCTTAAAATATCCACAAATGTTGAAATTTTTAAACTATTTTTTTTTCATTCCATCATTTATTTTAAGGCCTTTACCATGTGGAAATTTTAGTTTTTATGGGAAATCAACCTTTTCTGCTGGCTGACAACAGCCTTCTCTATGCCAAGTTTATAGAATTCATTTTCCATATTTTATTCTAATTCCTTTAAGGTTTTATTTTTAAAGTCTTAATATTTATTTCTTCTGGAATTTATTCTTATGGATAGGTATGTGGAAGAAATCTAACTTTTACTGATTTTGGCCATAAAGCCCAATGTTATTTACCAAATGCAGGTGACTCTTGAACAACAAGGGTTTCAACTGCAAGGGTTTGCCACTTATAGGCAAATTTTCACCCGCCTCTGCCACCTCTGAGACAGCAAGACCAACCCTTCCTCTTCCTCCTCCTCCTCAGTCTACTTAACACAAAGATGATGAGGATGAAGACTTTTATGATGATCCACTTCCACTTAATGAATAGTAAATATGTTTTCCCTTCCTCAGCATTTTCTTAATAACATTTTCTTTTCTCTAGCTTACTTTATTGTAAGAATACAGTGCATAATACATATAACATGCATAATATGTGTAAATCAACTGTTTATGTTATCAGTAAGATTTCTGGTCAACAATAAACTATTAGTAGTTAAGTTTTGGGGGAGCCAAAAGTTATACACAAGTGTTCATCTGCATGGGAGGTGAGGGGTGTTCTTAACCCCTGCATTATCCAAGGGTGAACTGCAATCCATTTTATTGATTTGGAATGCCACTTTTATCACCTACTAAAGGGCCGGGCATGCAAGACACTGGTTTTGTTTCTCTGTACTCCTGCATTGCTCTATTTGCCTTTTCCTGTGCCCTGAAGAATTCTTTCAATCACTGTGCTTTTATAATATGATATCGCATCTGATAATACAAATAACCACATTGCTTTTTTTTGTTTCAAAAATATCTGAACTATTTTCAAACATGTATTCCTGCCGATTAAATTTAGAATCAACCATTGAATTTCAAATCACTTCCATTTGAATGGACTTGAAATGAATCAGTAGATTAATTTAAAAGAAATTCTGTCTCTAAAATGTTGAATCTCCTTTTCCAGGAATCTGGAAAGTCACTGCTTATTTAATTCTCTTTATATGCCTTTAGTTGACTTTTATTGTTATTGTTTCCCTACATTGGTTTGCGCCCATTTACTTAATTTTTTTCTAACAGCTTTATTAAGATACAATTCATGTGCCATGCAACTCACTCATTGAAAGTGTGCAATTAAATGTTTTTAAGTATATTCACAAAGTTGTGCAACTATTACCAGATTCAATTACAGAACATTTTCATTTCCTCAGTAAGAAACCTGGTACACTTTAGCTACTATCCCACCCCAGCCCCATCTGCTATCCCTACAGACCAAAGCAACAGGGCTCTTTGACATTTCATGTAAATGGAATCATATAATATGTGATCCTCTATGACTGGCTTCTTTCACTTAGCATGATGTTTTCAAGGTTCAATCATATTGTATGAAGCATGTATTAGTACTTGGTTCCTTTTTATGACCAAATAATATTCCTATTGTATGGATAAACCACATTTTGTTTATTCATTTATTATTTGATGAGCATTTTGGTTATTTTTACCTCTTGGCTATTACAAATCATGCTGCTATGAAGATTCATGTACAAGTTTTTATGTGGACATATTTCAGTCGTCTTGGAAAAAGTACTGCTGGTCTAATGGTAACTCCACATTTAACTTTTTGAGAAGCTGCCAGACTGTTTTCCA